>NC_000010.11:51809761-51961277 GCF_000001405.40 Homo sapiens | reverse complement strand
TTCATATCTGTGGTTCAGCAGAACCCACTGTGGGACTTGAGCATGCATGGATTTTAGTATTTAAGGGGATCCTGAAACCAATCCTCCCCCCACAATATCAAGACAACTGTATTTGGTATTATGTTAGTTCTGTAGAAATAATATCCTTCTCTAGAAAAGCTTATAATGAAGAAAGAGAAAATTACATTCACTAACCTTATAAAACTAACTTTTAAAAATTAAATATATTCAGTGAAACTAATGCCTTTTTTGGCACTTAATAGCCTGTGTGATAACATGAAGACTGGCAGAACACATATCAAATGAGCTCAATACTTCAACTTGCTGTCGCTAAAAAGCAACAATCACGCCTGAGTAGCATGGCATATAAAACAATTTGCATCCCAATATGTGGGAACAATCTAAATTCTTAGAATCCCTAAGCAGTTTCACAGGCTCTTTGTTGGCAGAACCACGAACTGGGGAAGTCGGATATCATGCTTTTGAGATCCTATTTGGAGTTCTTCTAAATGACAAGCTTGAGCATCTCTGCATAAAACACGTGATTCATCTCCCATTTCAGTTGGATCACAGACAATCTGCTTTCTAACATCTGCCTGCGAAAATCCAGGGCAGATTTCTTAAGACTCTGGTACCAAATATGGGTTACAGAAAAACTGGTTACGTCGTCTTTATTTTACCAATAGGTGGCACTGTGGGTAACGATATAGAATCAATGTGACACTACATGAACAGAAAAAATAGAAAACGGTTATTTTTGGTGGGGGGTGTGGTGGGGAGGGGGCAGGAAAAAATATCCCATCTTGTTTAAAAGTATCTTACTCCCATAAATATTTTTATAGTCTTATAATTATTATAGTTTATATAAGTTATGCAACTATTTTGTTGTATAACTACTGCTCCTGTTTTTTCCCTCCTTCATACCTTGTTTCCAAAGTCTGTTAAACTAACCCAGTTTCACATCTAGTCAATGAGAAGGTTGAATTAGCTCAAGGGTAGAAAACTCAAGTGCCTGTTAGAGCAGGTAGCTCATTTAAATGAGTTCAGAGGTTCTAAAGTAAGAGGATAAGGATGCTAAATGGTACCCATCCAAAATAATTTCCTTTTCAATGTTTTTGTTTGTTTTCTGGTTGGTTTGGCTTAAAAAAAAAAAAAGGAAACCAAAGTAAAAAGGTCTTTGGGAACAAATTTTTGACTTCTTGATTAGATGATGTCTAGAAGTTTCTGCAGCTATAGAACACTGTAATGGATCCTAGATTCTACTAGGAGAATATATAAAATCACACATATTTCTAATCATGTACATACATGAATATGCATAATTTTGATATCTTCAATCTGTGATAGCTCTGTTTATACTTAATGTGAAACAAAGTAGAAAGATATTTCCCTTACATTAAAACTCAGGGAAATATGAAATGAATTTAGAGAACACAAGATTCAATTATCTTCCAACTTTTTCCATCCTAAGTAACAGCATCACCACCCACTTGGCTCTCTGCAGTTAGAAATCTTGGCATCATCTGCTATACTTCAATCTCCTTCACCTCTGACATTTCATCAGTCACTGAGCCCAACAAATTTTACCTCCAAACTCTCTCCCTATTCTATTTCTAATTTTTAAACCCTATGACTCCTGCCCTAATTCAAACACTCACTGCCTAGATCTCACTCAACAGACTGAATAAACCCAACTGGAGCAGTGAGTACCTGGGGAGAAGGAGAAAAATTGTGACCAACCTAGGAGGCATCAAAGCTGGAACTGAGATACAAGACTCTAAGCAATGCTTACCCTTCCAGTCTTGTCTCTTGTATGCTACCTCAACGTACTCTACATTTCCACCTTCAGTTGCGCAGCAGTACTCAATATTATTAGAACTATCCACATGACACTCTTTGATAGGTTTCACAAACTGTAATATCCTTGACTGCCTAGCAAATTCCTAGATATCTTTCAAGGCACAGCTCAACTATTTTCTCCTCTACAAAATCTTCTCCAATTATCGTAAAATGATGATTAATTACTCTGTGATTGCATATTTGTACACATTTCTCACATAACACTATCACAACATGTTGAGTGTCTAGTCTATGAGAGAAGAGCCTGTCATTCATCTTTAATTACTGAATTACACCTGAAATAAATTATGTCTAAAAATCAGTCTGTCTGGTTTTGAATTCCAGCTCTACCACTAAGTAACCTTAAGATTTTGAGCAAGGTAGTGTAATTTTTAAGCCCCACGTACTCATCTAACAATAGATGCCACAAGACTGCTGTGAGGACAAAGTGAGAAAATGGCCATAAAGCACTGACTACAGTATTTGGCACAGGTAATCCACATCACTCACCATTTAGGTTTTAACATAGTCATCTGTAAAATATTGGGCTTGGACTAGAAGGCCCAGGTAATGCCTTCTACCTCTAACATTGTTTGACTTTATGTCCTGATTAAAGTGGAACTACTAATATTTGATGCTGTTAAACAAAATAGTTCTGGCCATGCACTGTAGCAGCAATCAGAAACAGTTGTAGCCTGATTCTATGTCAGACCATTTTACTGGACTTGAAATGCCAGGAAATATACTTTATTTAAAAATATATATAATTGCCTTAGTAATTTATGTTCCCCTGACATAGGCTTCTTCCCTTCCAACACTCATGTGTACACATATTCATTGACAAAAAAAAAAAAATACTCTGTAGACGTCCAACTGAAAAAAAAAAAAAAAAGGAACAACAATGGACGACCTATTCCTTGAAATACTTGAAGATCATCATAGGCCACAAAGGACCAAGTTATCCTAAAAAAAACTCTGGTCCAGTTTGTATCTGTATCCCTCTGAATCTTCATAACCCCTGCCCCTAGTTCCAAAACACATCTACACACACTAACATATCAACTTCGTTCATCTATCCTGGATTTTCTTTTTTTGTTCCTTTCCTTGCTTCTACAATCACAAATTCTCTAAAAGTTCTAAGGTCTTTTTTCTTGACTTGTTTTTTCATAAGAACTACCCTGATAATGGCCCAGGAGGCCTGAGTGATGGGAGAAATTAAATAAGGTAGGAAGTATAGCAATTCTTGTGGATGATAGATTTGGTTAAACAATTTCTCTTGTATCACAATAAGTGTACATTTTCATTCCAGGGAACATCTGCTCTAGTCAAAGCTATTTTTGCAGATAAACAAAGTTGAAAAAATACTTCTATTTTATTCAAATTAAAGAGTGCTTGTTATATTAAAAAAAATCTAAGGTAAAAATTATCAATGATACTCTACTTTGAGAATTTTGCCCTTTACATTATTATTCATTCAAAAAGCATCATTCAACCGAGCATCTAACTCACTGGCACTGTCTTTAAAGTGTCAAGATAAATAAGCCTTTGTTTCGGACTTCAGATAGCTTACAGACTAATGGAAATATAAATGTGTAACAACAACTATATGTCCTACACTATTACAGGTGAAGTTACAAACTGTGATTTCATTGGATGAAAAGAAATGTTTTTTACTAGCTCCATATAGCCCTAAGCAGAGGAGAATTGAACACATATTTTGTAAATTATAAGGTATACTGAGATTCTCTCTCTTATTCTGGAAAAGAAAACAATATACTTACTCAAAGTGAAAAGATTCAGACCTGCATGACCCAATAGTAATTTATAGTTTTAAAATATTTTTCACAGTTGGGCACAATGGCTTATGCCTATAATCTCAGCAATTGGGGAAGCCAGTATGGGAAGATTGCTTGAGCCCAGGAGTTCAAGACAAGTCTGGGCAGCATAGAGAGAACCTGTCTCTACAGAAAATTTAAAAAATTAGCCGTGCATGGTGGCATGAGCCTGTAGTCCCAGCTACTGTAGATGCGGTGGCAGGAGGATCACTTGAGCCCAGGAGTCTTAGGTTGTAATGAGCTATGATTGTGCCACTGTACTCCAGTCTGATAGAGTTAGACCCTGAGAAAGAAAGAAGAGAAAAGAAAAAAAAAAGAAAAGAAAAGGAAAGAAAGGAAAAGCTATGTATGAAAGAAAAGAGAGAAGTAGAGAAAGAGAGAGAGGAGAGGGAGGTAGGGAGGGAGGAAAGGAGGGAGGAAGGAAGGAAGTAAAAGAAAGAGAGAAAGAAAGAGGAAAGAAGAAAGAGAAAGAAAGAAAGCAGGAAAGAAAGAAAGAGAGAGAGAAAGAAAAGACAGAAGGAGAGAAAGAGAGAGAGGAGATGGGGAGGGAGGGAAGAAAGGAGGGAGGAAGGAAAAAAGGAAAAGAGAGAGAGAGAAAGAAAGAGAAAGAGGAAAGAAAGAGAGAGAGAAAGAGGAAGGAAGGAAGGAAGGAAAGAAAGAAAATTTGTCCCACAATTTACTTTCAAGACTCCCTGAAATTCTGAGTTCTCACATTTCAGGGCTAGTAACATATAGATCTGGACAGTACCAGTGAATATGGTAAGTACATAAAGAATTTGATGATTTACATGGGAGTAAGGAAAAAATAGAGAGAGAAATAACTACATGGTACAGAGTGAATATGAGTGGGGAAACTTAAAATTTATTTGTGGATGTAAAAAAGAGAGAGAGGAGTTTTATATCAGAATATGAAATAGTTCATTCATTTATGTATTGGTTGTCGTAGTTTCAAATAAAACAACTGGTAACTCAATAAAGTTGTAAATCTGAATTACTTTGATTTCAAATACTTAAAGCCATAGAGTATAATGAAAATATCCTCAGTTCATTCTCTTCAAATTTAGACTAAATATCCAAAAGATTAATGGTGGAATCTTGGAAAGTATCCTAAGTTCTTTTAAGTTTAAGTATCAATTGGGCAGATTCTCACTTTGCTTCTTATTTCAAATTGTTTTATTGTTACTATTCAAAAATAATTGATAATATACACAAAATGAATATATGTTATTAATAATGTATACTTTATTAATATATAATTAATACAGATATTATTGTTGTAACACCAGATATGTATTCCTGTGGAAACTTGTGTCCAATAAAATTGCATACTAAGAATAACAGAGCTTATGGGGAAAGTATATCACTTGAAACCACAAAATGATACAACAAAAATACCAACAAAATAATAATCCTAATAAAAATACTAGCACAATTAAATTTTTACTGACATTTGCAACAGGAAGCCACTGTAGTTCATTTGTGATATCCTACATCACAGAAATCATATCCTTCAAGATGTGGTTCCTTAAAGAAACATGTTTCTAATTAGAGATCAGTTTCATCAAAATTAAAAATATGATTCAAAGGTAGCTTTCTTCATCAATCTTTTTCCCCTTAAACACAAAACAAATGCCTTTTAATCTTCATCTGTACTTGCAGCTTCCCCAGAAAGCTTGGCATGTGAAAAGAGAAGAATGGTCGCTATTGAAGCCACTAAATTAGCTCTTCCTGCACAAAAGGAAGGCATGTTCTAAGACTTTCGCTTTAACTCTAAAAACAAAAGAAAACAAACAAACAAAAAACCACTTTAAAACATTAACATTCTGGGGGAAATTATACATAAATTCCAACAAATTCTATGTCATTCTCTACTTTATTAACCATGTATAAACTAGTTAACATTAAGAGAACATGAATAATGCAGAAAAGATTGTATTGGACTAACGATTTCCAGACATAAAGACATTTTTAAATCTAAAAGGATTTGACAACATTAAAAAACTATTCATCATAATAATGAAATCGAATGACATTTTGCCTACGAAATCTTCATTTGAGTGCTACTTAATATGCTGAAGCTTACAAAATAGTTAACAAATGCATGTAGTAAGAAATTGATTTTTAGAATTATTCATCTTTTAAATACCTTAAAAAGTTAATACACTATTAAAAGTATAGTACATATGAAAAATCCTTGATTTATTTTGGTACTTCAATATGGTGTACCAACCTATGAAATAATGGGTCTTTTTCCGTGAAAAGAAAACCATGATCCTGAGCACCTTAACCTATAGTACCTTAACCTTAAAGGGCTGTCAAATATTGGTGAATGGGGCAGGTTTGCTGGTTTTCCTCCCGTGGAAAGTGTTGCCAATAGACACAACTTCCCACTAGTGAGCTCAGGCTAGAGACCAATTTGTGATGGCCCTCCTGGTACAAATCTGGATACTGCTTTTCAAAGACTCCCCAACAGATTGCATCCCATAGGCCAAAGAAAGAATCTTAAAAAGCCAACTACAAAATTATGTCCTTTAAAAAACACACACACACACACAAAACCTGAAAAGTGATAGATGTAAGAAATATCGACTATTGAAATGACAGTCTGAACTTTGTTTTTTAAAACTCCAGCAAAAAGAAACATGGTAAGGTAGAAAGGAGAAACAATAAAAGATAGCAAAATGTTGATAATTACTGAAGCTCAGTGATAGGTAGGTACATGGTTGGGAGGTGATTACACTATTCTCTCCATCTTTGTAAATTTAGAATTTTCTGTCTCCAGATGGGGGAAAAAAGAAACCATAAGCAATACCAAGTCTATTCTGCTTAGCAGAGTGAATACTATGGTTACAAATTTAAATAAACAAAAATAAAAGTCTCTGATCAGTTATTGAGTTTACCAAATTCCTATGACTTACAAATCGCCAAGATACATACATATGACTCCTCCTGAAATCAAGTTCTGAGAAAGTGGGCGTCTATGTTCAGAGAATTTCATTAAGCTAAGGTGTGATATGTTTTCTAAGTGTTTTTCTCAAACACATGCAAATACAAAGCATTTCAAGTGTGGTAAACAAACTGAATCTAACAACCACTGTGTGTAAAATATAGAGTTTCTTATAGGAAAGTACAAATTTTTTATTATACACATTCATCTTTCAAAGCACTTGTATTTCTTTTTTTAATTTTAGTAAATTCAGTAAAGCATAATCCTTGCAATGTTGGTCTAGAAATGCAAGTCATTAATTTAATTCTTGGTTCCTAGGCAAAATCAGAAAAGCAAAGACTGCATGCATTCGTCTCTACTTCTGGTTCATTTCATATTTAGACAAAACACCTACTTATGTACCAACAATCCAGAAAATTGAGCCTATTATTTTCAATGGATTATTACATAATTGTCATTTCAAAAACATTTTCTAAAAATTTGGAGACTGCTTTGATTTTCATGGTTTTTTAAGGAAACTTGGGATCCTCTAACTTTTTTATATAACTACATTTATGCACTTATGATTCCACTGGAATCAAATGCACAGACTTCTTGATAGAAAAATAGGTCTGGTTGTAACAATAATTCATTAGTAAATCTTTAATAATTAGGAGAGAAAACAATTTCCTTCATTCCAATCCTAAAATGGATTAATAAATGCCTCATTTTGCTCAGTGGAAATCCATATCAGAAGATAAAAGGGGCAATTTCTTTAACACAAAGTCACAGTGATATTGATTGTCACAACCAAGAAAGCCTGTAGTAATTACTAACTATGCATAGTTTGAATAATATAGAGGATACAGAATTTGAAATAAATAATGGCCAAACAACTGAGAAGTACTACACCACTTACGTTTTTGTTGATTTCAGTTCAAAAGTTAAAAAAAAAACAAAACCGCACACACAATATGGTGTTTCCATGGAGAATGTTCATTTAACATTCATTCATCAAACATTATTAAGCACTTACTGACACACTGCCAGGCACTGTGGTAGACTCTGGAGATACCTCGGTACACAAAGACAACAGCAAGTACCTCCCGAACTAACTGTTGTCATGAGTAATTCCTTTTCATCGGTCAGTAGTCACCACTCAATTAACAGCCTTGGAGTGGAGGGTTGGGGAGGCCAGGGATTAGGGCAAAGTAGAGAAAAGACATTTACTGAAAAAAGTCCTTTGATGATGCCAGCACACTGCTACAATTGGCAGTTATTGGAAACTGAATGCAAGTGAAAGAAACTGATTTTGTTTCTCACACTTTAAAAGCCTGCACATGTCACTTCTACCTCTACATTGACATTTCTGCCTGGAAAACAGTTTGAATGTGTGTGAGATTTTGGGGGGCGAAGGTGAACCACTTTTATATTATTTTCTCCTTGTAAATTTCCTACGACTTGTTAAATACAGCACACAAATTATAATCTTCCATTGGTGACATCCCTGCCTTTTCTGCAGCCATCATTTCTGATCTTACCAACAGGATTTTAACTACAGGAGGAGAAAATAAACTCTTGATTGCTAACAAATTTTAACTTAAACATAGACAGAAAAAGCTAAAGAAATTTACAAAATGTATGCATTTGAGCAAAGGGCATTTAGAAGAAACAATGAGTATTAAAGTAGGAAATATGCCTCTGCAGCAGGCATGAGTTGGTTAGATTCACTTGGATACAATAAACATGTATTAATCACACTGTCCCAGGCTCTGTATTAGACATGGCAACAGAATGGTTAAGATAAATACTGCTTTTTGTTATATCCTGACCTTTAGAAATGACTTTGAGATACATAATTATTTTCATTTCCATTTTACAGATGAAGCAAATGAATCCCAATAAGGCTGTGTGGTTCAATGCTACATAATTAGTAAGTGACAGGGTTGGAACTCATATTCATGTCCTCTGATTCTAAGTACAGTGCTCTTTCTGTACCATGATGCCTCCTTTAATCTCTACTTCTAATTAAAAACTACTGCTAATATTATTTACACTAAGAACAATGACACTTAATATTTATTAAGCATTTGCAATGTGTTAGGCACTGTGTTAATCTTAACTATATCTAATCTAAATATATTACCTTATTAAATGATCACAAAAACCTGATGAGTTAGGTTTTTATACCAATGAGTGAATTGAGGCTAATGAAGTCAATCATATTGTATTGTCCAAAAGAGCCTAAAGTCCCCCAGCTAGTAAGTAGTAGAGCTCAGACTCCAACCCTAAATGTCTGATTCCAAAGCCTGTGTTCACAGCCAGCACAAGTGATTCCCAAATTTGCCTGATGAAAATGCACATTTGGATACTTAACAAAAAATACAAATGTCCAGGCCTTTGCTCCTAGATTCTGATTTAGTAGGTCGGGCAAGCAGCCCAAGATCCAAATTTTTAACAACATTTGGACAAACATCAGGTCAGTTTAAAAAACCCACATTATATATTGAAGTTGATGTCAACTTCTCTAACTTATCCTCTAGCAGAGGGATTGGCAAGCTTTTTCTGTAAAGAGCCAGATAGTAAACATTTTAGGCTTTGTAGGCCAGTTTCTGTTGTAAATAGTCATCTCTCCTCTTGTAGTTGGAAACTAACTACAGAAAATATGTTAACAAATGGGTATGGCAAGGTTCCAATAACACCTTTATGAACACTGAAATCTGAATTTCATATAATATTGATGTGGCATGAACTATTACTCTTCTTTTGATTATTTTCAAACAGTAAAAAATGTAAAACTATTCATAGGTCACCACTCATACAAAAACAGGCATGCTGGATTTGGCCTTTGAGCTATTTTTGACCATAACTACTCCAGTTACCTTTCTCTTAGAGGTTCGTTCCAACTAGAACAGTAGTTGATAGAAAATTATTTCCCCAACTTATGCCTACTGACATTTCCAGTTATGTCCCCATTGTTTTATTTTTTTTCCTTTCTGTCTCCTGCCTTCTCATCCCAATGTCTGGAAACTATCTCATTTTAAATTCTAAGATACAAAAGAATATTCTTCTAAAAATTCTGTGAATAGTACCATAAGGTCTTTGGAAAAATAAACTCATAAGTGAAAATATATTTATTATAAATACATGTGTTATAAGGAATAAGGATCTCTTGCAAACTATTCAGGCCATATCCAAAAGTTAAGTGAATTTTATCATTTCTGTGTATTATTAGCAACAGTATTAAGCTTAAGAATTTTAAGAGAAAAACATCTGGCAGGCAACCATCTAAGTTTATTACATGTGGGTTGGCTGTGTATCTCTGGAAGTCAGGAATCTTTTGCCTCATAGCTTTAATCAATATATAATCACATTCTTTTGGCCTTCTACTTCACTGAATCCTTTTCTAATAAGATGCTGCTACTGAGAGCAACAGGAGGCAGCCAAATGCCAAAGCACATAGGGGCAGGTCTCTGGTGAAACCACACCTTCAAGCCAAAAAAAACAGCCTGAAGGCTGAAAAACCCAACTGCTGGTCCTGGATGAAACCCATGACCCAGAGGGATAACTTCTGTTCCTGGTTGCCCACCCTTCCCCGACTGATTTTTTTCTGAATAATGCCTTTTATCCAATTGAATGTTGTCTTTTCCCATACTACCTATGGCTTGCACCTCCCCTATTCTGAACCCATAAAAGCTCCGGGACTCAGCTACACTGGGGGACTTTCCCACCATTGGGGGACCACCCCCACGTCCGCTCTCTGCAGAAAGTTATTTCATCACTCAATAAAACTCCCTGCCTTGCTCATGCTTCAATTGTCAGCATAACCTCATTCTTCTTGGATGCTGGACAAGAGCTCAGGCCACACTGAGCGCAGGTACCCAGAAAGACTGTCCCACTGGCCTTTTGCCCTTGCCAGTGAAGGGCAGCTGCTCCATGCCATGGGGCCAGGGACTGACTGAGCTGCTGACGTGCAGCTGTCCATGGATAGTGGAACTAAAAGAACTAATTAGCATACTAATACCCCCTCTGGGGCTTCAGGGTCATTGGCACCCTAGTTCCTGGTCTGGCTGCAGGCCCCACATGAAGCTTGCTCCTGTGTTGTGCTTGGAATGGCCAGCCAGATCCCGCCCTGGCTCACTCACGTGCTCCCTTCCGCAAGGGGCAGAGCACTGTGGGCTGGGTAGACAGGGTGCCCCTGCTGCGAGTCTGGCAAAGTGGCCGAAAGAAAATTCCTGTGTCACTACAACTTTCTCTCTTCCAAAAAGCCTCTCATATAAGTCTAATTGAAAACTTGTAATTTTAAACAAGTTTTATTCAGTATGTACTTGGTGATCTGTAGTTTATCACTTGTTTTTTCTCTAGTTTATATTAATCACTAAGAGATATGCTTTTAATTGTCAAGAAGAAATATTTTGCAGGGTTTAATTATACATAAAAGAGAAAAGATAGATGTATATTTGGAGCATATGAGTGTATTTCAAGAGTATGCTATGATTTTGTGAATAAAAGGCATTGTGACATTTGAAAGCCTAGAGAGTCTTACATACTTTCATGAATGTGAAGGATGTAGGAGTTATGTAGTCCAACTTTTTCTTTATTTTGTGCTTGACTCAAAATCTTCATCAAGAAAAGTAATTGCTAAAATGCCTTTGGTGACAGGAAGCTCAATAAAGACTGTAGCAGCTATCACCTTCCTCATTTTAAACTGAAATGCTTTCCTTGAAATCTTCACCCAAGCGCTCCTTGGACATAAGAATTCCAAATATAAGTTGATGGCATGACATAACAATGTATCTGGAAATGCTTATGGCATGTATACATGTATGATTATAATCTGAGAAGACACCCTCTGACATGATGATGAAATTCAGAGTAAAATGAGGCTATTCATGTAAACATGATTTAATTTATGTCTGCAGGTAAGTCGAACCTGGAGACTTCTTGATTAAACAAGGGACATTATATTAATTGAGAATTATTTTATCACAGCTACCACCCTGGAAGCAAGAAGTTCTCAATAATCAGGCTGTACTCTAGCCAATCTTATCTCTGATACCTTAACATACCTTTAATTCCTGAGTGACAACTCTCTTGGCTATCACTGTACACATGTTCTAGGCATTTGTTGCTTTTCTTATCATTTCCTTCTGACATATGATGCTCTTCTACTCTATTGTACCAATCTAAACCAAATTTTATTTATATATATATATATTTATTTATTTATAGACATGAGGTCTCCCTGTGTTTCCCAGGCTGATCTCGAACTCCTGGTCTCAAGTGATCCTCCTGCCTTGGCCTCCCAAAGTGCCGGGATTATAGATGTGAGCTACTGTGTCCAGCCTAAACCAAATTTCTTATTCAAAGCCCAATGCAACTAGGTTTATTCCTTCCATTAAGCCCTGTCTCACAATTCTAGTCCTCAAAAATGCAAACCATCCCTTTTTGAATCTTGCCTCCTAAAAGACAACATATATGCTATTTTGTTTTACATGTTAAATATTTCTTAAGTGTTTATATGGACACCTTCATTAAATTGTAGGCTTCATGAGGGTGGAATTTAAGTCTTAGATGTCCATATTGAAGGCAATCTTTAGTCCAGTGCTGAACCTAAAGTGTTGGACATGCAGAAGACAAAGACGCAATAATGAAAATCATGTAGTTGACATAAAACTTTTTTGTTATGGTGCAAGTCTTATTATTATATAATTGGGAGAGGTATTCAAAAACATGCACACAAATAGTTCATATTATTCTGGTTATCTTATACTTTGTAATCCTTATTGAATCAATGTTTTAAAGAATTAACTATAATTCACTTTGAAAAGATTGCCCTACAGTTTAGTTTATTGACAAATAAATGGCCAAGAGATATATGAATCTATTTCCAGACTATGTGACCAAGAGTTGATTTTGTGAATCTTCTTCTTAAGTAATTTTAAAAAGGTTGTGGTGGTGATGATAGCCTTCAAACTAGTTGGCTCGTTGAAACTCTGTCTTTGACAACTCAGAGAAGTAATACTCAGAGTCTATTTCTCAGGTCACCAAGACTGAATTTAAATATAACAAAAAGTACAGTATATGTATTCTTTTAAAATTACTTATCAAATTACACACACACACACGCACACACACACACACACACACACAGAGACACACACAAGTTTCATGAAATAATACCTGAATCACATGAAATCCAAAACCCTTATCCCTTGCAGTATATTTTTAATATTTTCTATCCTATTCTTTGTTAAATGTTTGTAATAGTTCAATATTTCAATTTCACTAAGTTCATTAATGGGCAACAAACTATAGACAAAATTACTACTTAGGAAGTGGGCAAAAATAAACAGTATATATATACTTAAAGTAGGAATGTAAATATCAGTCAGAAAGCCACTTTCGTATCTTCAAAGTCAAATCTAAGAAGAAATTGTTCTATGTATGGCAATAAAATATTCTCAGTACATGAAACTCCTGAAATACATGTTTTGAATCATGGTGAACTAGCACTTGTTTGAGGTAACAATGTAAATAATTTAATAAATATCTTAAATTGAGAAATGTTGTCATAAATCTCTATTCTTTCATCAAAAATATATAATGAAAAAAATAAATACCATTTATAAAAAAGTAATAATAAATATAAGAAACCAAGGAATAAACTTTAGCACAAATGTAGAAGACCTTTAAGAAAATTATAAAATTTATTAATGACGGTGTCCAGTCTTGTGCATGCCCTCATCTGAGGTAGGTGCCGTCTGCTGAGTTTTCCTTCACGTTTCTTTGGTGCTGTCATCTCCTGACTTCCTGGTCATTTCCTCATATTCACTGGATGAAGTTCAGACTCTCCCTCTCCACCCCAAATCTTGCTATGACCTGAAGGAATTCAGTCCCCATGGAGTCCCCCTGTGGCTGGTCTGACATCCTGGCTGGTGCAGCTCTGCAGCCCTTCTTCTTTCTTGCAACTTCAACACCACAACACCCAGGGCTCCTTCTCCTCAGCCCATGAACCTGCTTGAGTGTCCTTCACACTTTATGAATTTAAAACAAACAGCAGGAGGGGAGCCAAGATGGCCGAATAGGAACAGCTCCCGTCTACAGCTCCCAGGCTGAGCAACGCAGAAGACGGGTGATTTCTGCATTTCCATCTGAGGTACCGGGTTCATCTCACTAGGGAGTGCCAGACAGTGGGCGGAAGACAGTGGGTGCAGCGCACCATGCGCGAGCCGAAGCAGGGCGAGGCATTGCCTCACTTGGGAAGTGCAAGGGGTCAGGCAGTTCCCTTTCCTAGTCAAAGAAAGGGGTGACAGACGGCACCTGGAAAATCGGGTCACTCCCACCCCAATACTGCGCTTTTCTGACGAGCTTAAAAAACGGCGCACCAGGAGATTATATCCCACACCTGGCTCCGAGGGTCCTACGCCCACGGAGTCTCGCTGATTGCTAGCACAGCAGTCTGAGATCAAACTGCAAGGCGGCAGCGAGGCTGGGGGAGGGGAGCCTGCCATTGCCCAGGCTTGCTTAGGTAAACAAAGCAGCTGGGAAGCTCGAACTGGGTGGAGCCCACCACAGCTCAAGGAGGCCTGCCTGCCTCTGTAGGCTCCACATCTGGGGGCAGGGCACAGACAAACAAAAAGACAGCAGTAACCTCTGTAGACTTAAATGTCCCTGTCTGACAGCTTTGAAGAGAGCAGTGGTTCTCCCAGCATGCAGCTGGAGATCTGAGAACAGGCAGACTGCCTCCTCAGGTGGGTCCCTGACCCCTGACCCCTGAGCAGCCTAACTGGGAGGCACCCCCCAGTAGGGGTAGACTGACACCTCACACGGCTGGGTACTCCTCTGAGACAAAACTTCCAGAGGAACGATCACACAGCAGCATTCGCGGTTCATGAAAATCCGCTCTTCTGCAGCCACTGCTGCTGGTACTCAGGCAAACAGTGTCTGGAGTGGACCTCTAGCAAACTCCAACAGACCTGCAGCTGAGGGTCCTGTCTCTTAGGAGGAAAACTAACAAACAGAAAGGACATCTGCACCAAAAACCCACCTGTACATCACCATCATCAAAGACCAAAAGTAGATAAAACCACAAAGATGGGGAAAAAACAGAGCAGAAAAACTGGAAACTCTAAAAAGCAGAGAGCCTCTCCTCTTCCAAAGGAACACATCTCCTCACCAGCAACGGAACAAAGCTGGACAGAGAATGACTTTGACGAGTTGAGAGAAGAAGGCTTCAGGCGATCAAACTACTCCGAGCTACAGGAGGAAATTCAAACCAAAGGCAAAGAAGCTGAAAACTTTGGAAAAAATTTAGACGAATGTATAACTAGAATAAACAACACAGAGAAGTGCTTAAAGGAGCTGATGGAGCTGAAAGCCAAGGCTCGAGAACTATGGGAAGAATGCAGAAGGCTCAGGAGCCGATGCGATCAACTGGAAGAAAGGGTATCAGTGATGGAAGATCAAATGAATGAAATGAAGTGAGAAGGGAAGTTTAGAGAAAAAAGAATAAAAAGAAATGAACAAAGCCTCCAAGAAATATGGGACTATGTGAGAAGACCAAATCTACGTCTGATTGGTGTATCTGAATGAAATTGACGGGGAGAATGGAACCAAGTTGGAAAACACTCTGCAGGATATTATCCAGGAGAACTTCCCCAATCTAGCAAGGCAGGCCAACATTCAGATTCAGGAAATACAGAGAACGCCACAAAGATACTCCTCGAGAAGAGCAACTCCAAGACACATAATTGTCAGATTCACCAAAGTTGAAATGAAGGAAAAAATGTTAAGGGCAGCCAGAGAGAAAGGTCGGGTTACCCACAAAGAGAAGCCCATCAGACTAACAGCGGATCTCTCAGCAGAAACTCTACAAGCCAGAAGAGAGTGGGGGCCAATATTCAACATTCTTAAAGAAAAGAATTTTCAACCCAGAATTTCATATCCAGCCAAACTAAGCTTCATAAGTGAAGGAGAAATAAAATCCTTTACAGACAAGCAAATGCTGAGAGATTTTGTCACCACCAGGCCTGCCCTAAAAGAGCTCCTGAAGGAAGCACTAAACATGGAAAGGAACAACCCATACCAGCCACTGCAAAATCATGCCAAATTGTAAAGACCATCGAGGCTAGGAAGAAACTGCATCAACTAATGAGCAAAATAACCAGCTAACATCATAATGACAGGATCAGATTCACACATAACAATATTAACTTTAAATGTAAACGGACTAAATGCTCCAATTAAAAGACACAGACTGGCAAATTGGATAAAGAGTCAAGACCCATCAGTGTGCTGTATTCAGGAAACTCATCTCACGTGCAGAGACACACATAGGCTCAAAATAAAAGGATGGAGGAAGATCTACCAAGCAAATGGAAAACAAAAAAAGGCTGGGGTTGCAATCCTAGTCTCTGATAAAACACACTTTAAACCAACAAAGATCAAAACAGACAAAGAAGGCCATTACATAATGGTAAAGGGATCAATTCAACAAGAAGAGCTAACTATCCTAAATATATATGCACCCAATACAGGAGCACCCAGAGTCATAAAGCAAGTCCTGAGTGACCTACAAAGAGACTTAGACTCCCACACAATAATAATGGGAGACTTTAACACCCCACTGTCAACATTAGACAGATCAACGAGACAGAAAGTTAACAAGGATACCCAGGAATTGAACTCAGCTCTGCACCAAGCAGACCTAATAGACATCTACAGAACTCTCCACCCCAAATCAACAGAATATACATTTTTTTCAGCACCACACCACACCTATTCCAAAACTGACCACATACTTGGAAGTAAAGCTCTCCTCAGCAAATGTAAAAGAACAGAAATTACAACAAACTATCTCTCAGACCACAGTGCAATCAAACTAGAACTCAGGATTAAGAAACTCACTCAAAACCACTCAACTACATGGAAACTGAACAACCTGCTCCTGAATGACTGCTGGATACAAAACGAAATGAAGGCAGAAATAAAGATGTTCTTTGAAACCAATGAGAACAAAGACACAACATACCAGAATCTCTGGGACACATTCAAAGCAGTGTGTAGAAGGAAATTTATAGCACTAAATGCCCACAAGAGAAAGCAGGAAAGATCCAAAATTGACACCCTAACATTATAATTAAAAGAACTAGAAAAGTAAGAGCAAACACATTCAAAAGCTAGCAGAAGGCAAGAAATAACTAAAATCAGAGCAGAACTGAAGGAAATAGAGATACAAAAAACCCTTCAAAAAATTAATGAATCCAGGAGCTGGTTTTTTGAAAGGATCAACAAAATTGATAGACTGCTAACAAGACTAATAAAGAAGAAAAGAGAAAAGAATCAAATAGGCGCAATAAAAAATGATAAAGGGGATATCACCACTGATCCCGCAGAAATACGAACTGCCATCAGAGAATACTACAAACACCTCTATGCAAATAAACTAGAAAATCTAGAAGAAATGGATAAATTCCTCAACACCTACACCCTCCCAAGACTAAACCAGGAAGAAGTTGACTCTCTGAATAGACCAATAACAGGAGCTGAAATTGTGGCAATAATCAATAGCTTACTAACCAAAAAGAGTCCAGGACCAGATGGATTCACAGCCGAATTCTACCAGAGGTACAAGGAGGAACTGGTACCATTCCTTCTGAAATTATTCCAATCAACAGAAAAAGAGGGAATCCTCCCTAACTCATTTGATGAGGCCAGCATCATCCTGATACCAAAGCCGGGCAGAGACACAACCAAAAAAGAGAATTTTAGACCAATATCCTTGATGAACATTGAGGCAAAAATCCTCAATAAAATACTGGCAAACAGAATCCAGCAGCACCTCAAGAAGCTTATCCACCATGATCAAGTGGGCTTCATCCCTGGGAAGCAAGGCTGGTTCAATATATGCAAATCAATAAATGTAATCCAGCATATAAACAGAACCAAAGACAAAAACCACACGATTATCTGAATAGATGCAGAAAAGGCCTTTGACAAAGTTCAACAGCCCTTCATGCTAAAAACTCTCAATAAATTAGGTATTGATGGGACATATCTCAAAATAATAAGGGCTATCTATGACAAACTCACAGCCAATATCATACTGAATGGGCAAAAACTGGAAGCATTCCCTTTGAAAACTGGCATAAGACAGGGATGCCCTCTCTCACCACTCCCATTCAACATAGTGTTGGAAGTTCTGGCCAGGGCAATTAGGCAGGAGAAGGAAATAAAAGGTATTCAATTAGGAAAAGAGGAAGTCAAATTGTCCCTGTTTGCAGATGACATGATTGTATATCTAGAAAACCCCATCATCTCAGCCCAAAATCTCCTTAAGCTGATAAGCAACTTCAGCAAAGTCTCAGGATACAAAATCAATGTACAAAAATCACAAGCATTCTTATACACCAATAACAGACAAACAGAGAGCCAAATCATGAGTGAACTCCCATTCACAATTGCTTCAAAGAGAATAAAATACCTAGGAATCCAACTTCCAAGGGACGTGAAGGACCTCTTCAAGGATAACTACAAACCACTGCTCAATGAAATAAAAGAGGATACAAACAAATGGAAGAACATTCCATGCTCATGGATAGGAAGAATCATTATCGTGAAAATGGCCATACTGCCCAAGGTAATTTATAGATTCAATGCCATCCCCATCAAGCTACCAATGACTTGCTTCACAGAATTGGAAAAAACTACTTTCAAATTCATATGGAACCAAAACAGAGCCCGCATCGCCAAGTCAATCCTAAGCCAAAAGAACAAAGCTGGAGGCATCATGCTACCTGACTTCAAACTATACTACAAGGCTACAGTAACCAAAACAGCATGGTACTGGTACCAAAACAGAGATATAGATCAATGGAACAGAACAGAGCCCTCAGAAATAATGCCATATATCTACAACTATCTGATCTTTGACAAACCTGAGAAAAACAAGCAATGGGGAAAGGATTCCCTATTTAATAAATGGTGCTGGGAAAACTGGCTAGCCATATGTAGAAAGCTGAAACTGGATCCCTTCCTTACACCTTATACAAAAATTAATTCAAGATGGATTAAAGACTTAAACGTTAGACCTAAAACCATAAAAACCCTAGAAGAAAACCTAGGCATTACTATTCAGGACATAGGCATGGGCAAGGACTTCAAGTCTAAAACACCAAAAGCAATGGCAACCAAAGCCAAAATTGACAAATGGGATCTAATTAAACTAAAGAGCTTCTGCACAGCAAAAGAAACTACCATCAGAGTGAACAGGCAACCTACAAAATGGGAGAAAATTTTCACAACCTACTCATCTGACAAAGGGCTAATATCTAGAATCTACAATGAACTCAAACAAATTTACAAGAAAAAAACAAACAACCCCATCAAAAAGTGGGTGAAGGACATGAACAGACACTTCTCAAAAGAAGACATTTATGCAGCCAAAAAACACGTGAAAAAATGCTCATCATCACTGGCCATCAGAGAAATGCAAATCAAAACCACAATGAGATACCATCTCACACCAGTTAGAATGGCAATCATTAAAAAGTCAGGAAACAACAGGTGCTGGAGAGGTTGTGGAGAAATAGGAACACTTTTACACTGTTGGTGGGACTGTAAACTAGTTCAACCCTTGTGGAAGTCCGTGTGGCGATTCCTCAGGGATCCAGAACTAGAAATACCATTTGACCCAGCCATCCCCTTACTGGGTATATACCCAAAGGACTATAAATCACGCTGCTATAAAGACATGCACACATATGTTTATTGCGGCACTATTCACAATAGCAAAGACTTGGAACCAACCCAAATGTCCAACAATGATAGACTGGATTAAGAAAATGTGGCACATATACACCATGGAATACTATGCAGCCATAAAAAAGGATGAGTTCATGTCCTTTGTAGGGACATGGATGAAATTGGAAATCATCATTCTCAGTGAACTATCGCAAGGACAAAAAACCAAACACCACATGTTCTTATTCATAGGTGGGAATTGAACAATGAGAACAGATGGACACAGGACGGGGAACATCACACTCTGGGGACTGTTGTGGGGTCGGGGGAGGGAGGAGGGATAGCATTTAGGAGATATACCTAATGTTAAATGACGAGTTAATGGGTGCAGCACACCAGCATGGCACATGTATACATATGTAACTAACCTGCACATTGTGCACATGTACCCTAAAACTTAAAGTATAATAATAATAAAATAAAATAATAAAAAAACATAAGCACGTGTGATCAAAATATAAATAAAAGCATGTGAATGTTAAATTCAATGTAGAATTTCTTACAGTGACTGAGACAGAATATTGTACATGAGAGGATACACTGAAGGTTTCAATTTTAATTATAAACTTCTATTTCTTAAGTCTCATAGTTGGTGCTTAAGTGTTCATTATACTATTCCTTATTATCTTTTGCATTTTCCAAATATTTTAAATTTGTTTAAAAGAAAGCATAAGAAAATACATGGAACAAAAGAAAAGAAATCCCTAAACCATACATATATGCTATGTACTAAATTTCACTGATTCTAAGATGCTCTGTTTTTGATTTATTGTTCCTCAAATTAGGATGTATCTTACAATGGATGGATCCTGAAATTTAATAAAATAGAGTGATTTTTTTGCTATGTAACAAGTGGCAGAGAGGGGAACAGATGGAATTACTACAATGGTAAGTTGATACTTTTCTCTATCTAGCTTTGATTGTGTTCCCCAAACTTGGATATTGAGAAGTAAAATTGTTCTATCTCTCACTTTCATCATATAGATAATGATCATTACAATATCTACTGTGATCTGATGAGAATTTTCCCTCAAAAGGATGTGTTACTCATTCTAGAATAGGAAATGGTTATGGGCTTGGTGCTTTGGTGAAAGAAAAAAGAGAGAGAAGAAGACGAAAGTTAAGGGAAGTAATAACATGGCAAAGTTGAAGAGAAGTGGTGCTTGAAGGTCCCAAAAAACCCTCCCCTCACTCCTCAGAAACAGAATGGCCTGGCAGGACTTGCATGTTTAAATGACTCTGTAAAGCTTGATGTCTGGGATCCCACTCAGCTTTGGTGAAAAATATCCCTGGCTGACACT
Organism: Homo sapiens; assembly: GCF_000001405.40. Lineage (NCBI taxonomy): Eukaryota > Metazoa > Chordata > Mammalia > Primates > Hominidae > Homo > Homo sapiens. The sequence goes on along the minus strand of NC_000010.11, from coordinate 51,940,572 downwards.
ACATGAGAGGTAGGGCCCATTTTTCCTTGAACTTTGAAAAACCAGTATAGCCATCATAGGTATCCAAACTTGTACCAGTGGCAAGAGCTATAAACAGAGGCCTTGACCCAGCCCTATATTCACATATCACATCAAAAGGGTCTCTCTTTTCCATAGCAGTAGAGTTATTTAAGAGCAGCCAGGATTAACCTTTGGAGAAAAGTACGTTTCCTGGGATCATATATTTATCAGTAGAGGACTGACCATCAGTAGAGGGCTAATTATTAATAGAGGGCTGATTATCAGTAGAAAGCTGATCCCCAAAATAAGAGAAGGGTTTTCCTGAAATAAATAAGACAGAGTCCCAAATGTTTAAAAGGAAAAAAGACAAGGGCTTATTTTTCACTCCAACCAAAAAAAGCAGGGGATATTTGGTATACCTGTCTTGCAAAGAATAAAGAGAAGTCATGAAAAAAAGAATAGAGCTAAAAGCAACAGAGAATGACCAATTACCTGACTCTTTAAGTTTCTGGTGGGGACTAGGGGCAGCTATAAGGCTATAGAAATTTTTCATTAATTTTAATTCAAAGGCAGTATGAAACAAATCAAGTATATAAAAGACTCCATTCATTGAATGTTTTAAATTTTCTAGGAATTCAACAAATAGTCTCAGTTTTTCTGAGTATCTAAGTCACCTATAGGAATAACTAAGAGAATGTAAACAGGATCACTCATCAGCATAACTTTTCATAGCAAACCACATTTTAGTAGATTTGAGAGAAAATCAAAGATTTTTCTTCTACAGTTATATAGTACTCTTGCATTTACCAAATATATATGTATTATTCCCACTGGTAAGTTAAAATGCTGTTTCATGGCCACTCAACATATTTAAGGACTCTACTCCCTAAAGTACTTACCAGAGGCCAAAAAAGACAAGTTAAAGCATGTTAAGGACATGACCAAGATAGTGGTGTTTCTCAAAATTAAAAAAAAAAAAATTAAGTTTATAAACTCATCAAGAAAGAAGAGAGTTGACAATGAGATCAGACTTTGCTCTTGATTTTATATAAATAATATGGTATAAAGAAGCAAAGCAATGTTAAGCCTGTGCTTTACTTCTTTACATCCTTCAGAGTTTGTATGTATCTGTTCAGGGTTGTAATCAATTGTGGATTTTATTTTTTGTGGATTTAAAAAAATTAATTATGGTTTTAAAATCAACAAAACCAAATAGGATCCAGTACCAATCACAACAAGGCAGAAGGATTCTCAATTTGGCCGTATGTGACATATTTTCTACAGCAAATAAAAATTTCTGTGTGAGTTCTGCTATAGCTATTGTAGCAATATTACATTAAATAAGTTTAGATTCTAAAAAAGGAAATAATGCAAAATAATGTTCAATTCTGGCAATTAATGTGTGGTGACAATGGAGCAACACTAAGAGAATAAAATAAGATAATAGCTGAAGTGGTCAAAACAGAATAGAGGATTCATAGGATAAACTAAGGAAAGCTGAACCAAGCACTAACACATAACGAGAAGAATTTTTAGACTTTACTTCTTAAAAGTGTACATACTCATACACTATAAAATTCATTCTCCTTGCTGGGTCTATCCACATACCCTTTCCCTATCAGTGTCCACTGCAAAAATAATACAAATGATAAAATAGTATTAATAATATATTCTATTTAATCTTTCCAGAAGCTTGCAAAAACTTTCTGAAGTACATACAATGATATTATTCCCATTTTACCTGATGAAGGAACTAAGCTTTAGAAGACTAAACAGTTTGCTCAGAGTCATATATCTAGAAGGGAAATAGCAAAAGTGGGACTTGATTTTGGGTACTCTGACTCCAGAGAAGTACTAAAATGTGACTAGGGATACCCCTGATGTCACACAATCCTTGGAGGACATCACATGTGCAGGTGTCTTCTCAGTGGGAAGAGGGGTGAGTAAGAAAGAAGGAAAAGGGATAAAAATGACATATGTATTAGGATCATACAAAGTTTAAGAAGAAAGGAATGCTTAAGATTGTAGTTTCCAATCACTTTAAAGAAGGGGAATGACATTAATGCCCTCTTAAAGTAAAATTCAAATGTCTTTCCACCTTGCTCTAAACCACATTTAGGTTCAGATTCATAAAAAGCCAACAATGACCCCCTCTTATCCATAGGGGATACATTGCAAGATCCCCAGTGGCTGTCTAAAACTTGCAGATAGTACCAAATCCTATATATACTATCTTTTCTCCTATACAAACCTACCTGTGATAAAGTTTAATTTATAAATTAAGCACAGTAAGAGACTAATAACTAATAAGAAATACAACAATTTTAACAACATACTTTAATAAAACTTACGTGTATATGGTCTCTGTCTCTTTCTCAAAATATCTTAATGTACTGTGTTTACCCTTCTTCTTGTGATGATGTGAGATGAAGAGAGGTGAATGACATAGGCATCATGAACATTGTATTAGCCTACTATTGACCTTCTGATGACATGTCAGAAGAAAGATCATCTGCTTCAGGTGATTTTAGATCATGAAGCCAAGACAATGTTGATGGTTGGAAGTCAGGAGCGGACGATGTCGATGACTAACAGGCAGATAGCGTATAAGTATGGATATGCTGGACTAAGGGATGATTCACATACTCAGTGGAACAGTGTGGGCTCAGGCTTTCATCACACTACTCAGACCAGCATGCAAATTAAAACTTATAAGTTGTTTATTTTTGGAATTTTCCATTTAATATTTTCGGGCCACAGAAAGTGAAACTGTGGATAAGGGGGAACTACTGTATTTGGATGAATTTTTGGACTTTGGCACTCTCAGTCAGTGGAAATCAGGCATTTAAATATTCCTGAGTAGAGACTATCCTTAGCATGCTGACCAGAAGTCTCTCATTTTTAGTTAACATAAAAAGGAAAACAAAGTATTATTTCTAAGAAGTTAGATAAACTACCACAAAATTAAACAGTAAATAAACAGGCAGTTCAGAGAATCTTTGAATACAGATGGTATGTACAACTCTTGGATCTGATTTCTTAAGTCAGACTGGAACGAAAAGAATTCAGACTAACCAAAGACTTAGTTCTTAAACATCTGCCAAGATTTACAAACCATGGCCTGTTTCAATATGCTCTTTCTGAGAGCACATAATAGCTTAAAGCCCCTGGAAATATTAAATTAGGTTAAACATTCAAAACAGGCCAACATTGCAGGAGAGAGAGTCAGATTCATATTAATTTATTTTTTATTTAATCGGTTTATTTAATGACTTTCCTCCTAAGAGCTCATAGCGGCATAGAATATGGCCACAATAAAATCATATGAAATATACAACAGTCCCTGCTTGCATGTGAAGAACTATTTCATACTTGTAAATCAAGTCCTATGAAGTGGTCTGGAAAACCTAGAAATGGCATTATGGACATTAGGTCTGGTACTGAGAGTACCTCATCTTTGTTTCTGTAATTTTCTTAAAGTGTTTTCCAACTCTAGAGTGTAAAGCTAAATTTTAAAAGAAGGCACTCCTGCTAACTAAACAGCAAAATAATTCTTTCTGAATTTCTGTGAATCATTATGAAAATCTTCTCATAAATCTCTTATACTTCCTCTTCTAACTATATCAATTCCTCCAAGAAAGCCCAAAAACAAAATGAGAACTGTCATCTAAAAAGTTTGTAAGAATTCAGGAGAAATGGGTTGTTTCTAATATGAATGTCATAAGCTTCTGTACCAGGAATGCATATTTCACATACATTTAGAAAATCTTTAAGAATTGTAAATTCTATTTGTCATTTCCTTTGATTCTGCCCAAGTATGTGTTTATGCAAGCAAAAAAATTTTTAAAAAAATTGTTTTTAAGCCAGCATCATAACAAGTACACTTGGGAAACAAACAAACAAAAAATTATAATTTTAGCTTTTCTCATACTCTCTACCCCCAGCATGATAAATGGAAGTATCAAAGATATAAGATGCAAGAAATGGGAGATTTTTCACAAGTCCTGTTGACTCATTCCTTAGAATCCAGTACTATGCCTACACAGATCATTTCACTACCTCTAGGTACAAATCCAGTTAGCCCCTTGTCGAAAATTTAAGGACATTGTCATTTACTTTCAGAAAACAAAATTATCAGGCATAGCTTTAATTGTCAGCATCTCTGCACTACTAACTTTATTCATTTGTGGTTTAGTTATGCATTATATGAAAGAAATGTTATAAATGCTGTGAATTGAGAAATAAATGTTCCAGGACTCGAGGAGGCCATCAGCAACAGGGAAAAAAGTTAAATAAAATTAAGGATTCATAATAATGGCACATAAATTGCTATGATAGAGATATAAATCAGTTGTTGAGACAACACATGGAAAGAGGCACCTAACCCCCAGCCCACACTAGATTGAACAGAAGGGATAATATTTGTGAGATTCTGACAAGGCTGAATAAACAGAATTTAAATTTAGAAATTTAAAAAGGGAGGGAAACAAGGAAGATCCAGTTTCCTTGAACAAATATTGCCATTCAATAAAATGGGAAAAGAAGGATGAAGTTTGAGGAAGATGATGAGCTCAGTATGAAACAGGGTGAGTTAGAGATTATAGGAGGGGTGGCTATGCAATTAACACATAAGGCTGTCTTCAGAAATAATAAATGGAAGAGTGCCATACATTTTAGATCATTTGCATATGCATATTAATGTAACAAAGTAACTTCAGGAAAGTTTAGTGAGTACTTCACTGTGGTGAATACCTATGCTGAAGGGAAAACTGGAAGACTCATAGCTTGTAAAGGTGACAATATAATAGCCAATAAAATTGGCAAAAAAACCTAGAAAAGTATGGGGTTACAAAAGATAAGGTGATTGTTTTGAGGAAGAAATTATGAGTCATATTAAATTCCCAAGAGAGGACACATATTATAAGGAATAAGAAGCGACAATTGGATTTGGTAACTAAGAAGTCTTTCATGACTGAGTGATATATGAGTTTAGAGAAGAACAAATGCCGGGTTGTATGAAATTAAAAGGGGAAGTAAGATGTCTGGTTATCTGTGCTCCAAGGTTAAAACATTTTTATCTTCAAATCTATCCTATCTCAAGCCCTGCAATTACTGAAATCCAGTTGTAGGAGTTCGGTAACTGTTTACCGAATTGAATCGCCTCTCCAATAATTGCTCTTGTGTTTGTTTGTTTAAATCATAAGGAGCACTTATCTCCAGAAAATTTAACAGTTTAATAGTTAACAGAACCACAGGTTATACTGAGTTTTCCTCTATATTTAACAACCATGTATAAATCAGGCTGAATGATTCTTAAGTTCAATTAGTATAAATATTTAGCACTTCTCTAAGATTTAGAAGCTGATGTCCCCTACTCTTGAGAATAGAGAGGCTCTTCCCAGTCAACTCAACTTTCAAGGTGAATAAGACAAAGATTTCCAGGGACTTAACTCACTCCACTATAGCCAAGCTACCCCATGGGCAGGAAGAGGTAGTTTTGGAGTAGCAAGTAGAGAAGCCTGGTAATGAGTACAGTGTCACCAGTTCCCATTGCCGGAACCATCCTGCTTAGGCTAGAGGCAGATAGAAAGTCTTCTAAGCCCCCACCTCATAGTTCTGCCCAAAACTCTATCATCTGTTTCTTTCTCTGTCCTGGCTTATTGATTAGCTTCTCATTTGATACCTGATTGAAATCCATGAGTAAAGAATGGTTGAACTTTTTGCTCAATTTCTCTGTGACAAAAACAATTGCTCAGACATAATTGACTATGAGCTCTGCCTTTGTGTGTGCAGACTAAAAATACTGAAGCAATCAGAGATGCTCCTTGTAGTTTGTCCTTCTCCTCATCCACAATTGGCAAGGCTAATCTTTCACTACTCCAGACGTCACAGACAGACGGTAGGGAAAACAGGGATAAACCTTTGCCTCTGCTATGGTGATCACAGAAACAGAGGTCAACGGAAACCATGTCAGCCTTGGTCCCTGAGAGACCACAATAAGCAGAACCCCTATACTGACCTACACTGAACATGTAATGTGAGTGAGGAACAAATTTAAGCTGCTGTTATTTGGGGATCGTTGGTTACTGTAGAGCAACTTAATATATCTTAACGAATGCAAAATGATTGAGAATTCTCAATAGATTTCAAAAGTGTGAAGCTAAAATGTTAAGAACAAATTTCCCTAATAGAATTTTCAAAACATAAAACTGAGGGTGTGTAGAATTGTTCCTTAATGCACATTGCACTTTGGCTGACACAACTCAAAATATAACCTGAAAAATCTGTGCGTGTGTGTGGGCGGTGTTGGGGGGGGGGTATGTGTGTGTAATCATGCACACAACCCTACACTTGTGGATTTTTTCTTTTCCAATGATTACTCTGATTTTCTTATCTAATTTGTTGTTATGATCTTGGAATCTGGGTGATGGCTTTTTGAATCATATGAGCAAAGCTTTTCTTTCTTTCAATTTTGATGTGGTTCTATTGCTGTACACCAGGAAAGTGCATTTCTAGCTAGTCCCTTGGTTTATCTAATTTACATGTATGTATTTATACACATAAATAATCTGCTCACTCAAAACAAAATATTTGTACTTTATAACAAAAATTCAAATAATGCTTCCTAACTATTTTTTAAGATGATACTACAACTAAGTGTTATTCATGTTTGTGTTATGTCACTGCTGAAGTGCTTGTATAGAGATTGTGACTTTGGCACATATTTTCTTACTGCTGTACTGAAAGCAATGTAAAATCTTCTTCTTCTTATTATTAAAGTAGCTAAAAGTTATTAAGCAGCTAAAAGTTAATGGTAAACATATTCTAATCATTTTATTTAATCCTCACAATAACCTTATGACATCAGAAGTATTATTATTTACTAGAGAAAACCTAAGGCACAAATTTTTTTGTTTCTTTTGATCTGCAAGTATTAACTAAAAAAAAAAAACTTGGCTAAAATTTAAGAACTAGAATTAGGAGATTCTAACTTCACATAAAAATCTGGATTTCTGTTTGGGTGAAGAAGGCATTGTCTTCAGAAACCTTGGTGTAGTTGAATTGATAGTTACTGTTGTGACCTGAAGTTCACCATTAAAAGGGATTACCCAAGCAAAATCATGAAATTATCGGTTATAAAAATGATTGTTGGCGCATCCTATGCAATATATTTAAATTGAATAATGGGACCAGATAAAATTATAGATGGGAATGAAGCTTATAGATCATCCATTATCATGTGTAATCAATAAATGATTTAATTCTCTTGAAAAAAACTCTGGATTTCATATAAAAATCTGGATTTTTTGGCTTAAAAAGAAATTAGAATAGATGCAAGCCCTTCTATTCCTGCACAGCAAGAGCTGGCCAGAATACAGGAGGCCCCTTTAGTAAAGTCTGAACCTCTGGAGCAATGTAAGATAGGATTGTAATTAGGAAACACAGTATAGTCCGCACATGACATCTTGCATCTGTACTTGGAAATCATGATTATCACACATTGGGGCTGCTACCCAATGTGTGATAATGTACTAAAGTCTTTGGATAATACCTGTTGGTTTAGACTACAAATTTCAAAAATGTATAGTCATGTAGCCAAGACACAATTTCTGACAAGAATGTCAACAGTTCCAGAAAACACTTTAGGGACTGATTATAAAAAGAATAAGATACATTTTTTTTTCTCTGACTCTGAGATAACCCCCGCTTCACCTCCTTTCCAAGTACAAAGGAAGTATCATTGTTGATTTTATTGTCAGTTCACTGGCAGCAGTCAATAGATGTAACTGAAAGCTCCTCATTGAAACAGAAATTGTAAAGCTACAGAAAGGTTTCACAAGACTCAATTTTTCACAAGCAGCTGGCATCACCCTTGTTAGAACTGCCCTGGCCAAATGTCCTGTCACAGTCCCCACCAGGGCTGGGCCTTTTAAAGAGGCACAACGAAACCCCACGCTTGGTCCCTAGTAAAGCTTCTCCTCCATCTGTCCACTTAGAGGGCAAGGCAGAGCAGCATAAAAATTAAAACCTGGCCGTGGCAGTATAGCAGATCTAGATCCCAATCCAACTTCCTAGGTGGGTGTTCTTGGCCAAGTTTGTCTGTAAAATGGTCTTAGTACCACTTACTTCATAGAGTTGTCCAAAGATTCAACAAGTGAAACTAAATAAAGCCCTCATGACTAACATATAAAGATAATTTAATAAATGGAAGCTGTTATTATTAAAGGACATTTGGGGTCAATACTGAACCGTTTCTCAATGTTCTTTTCTTGCTTTTCCAGACTGTATGGTATTTTCTGGACATTTTTGGAACTATGGAAATGATTTTATTGATAGTTAAAGAATAAAAATGTCCTCAATTAAAAAAAAAAAAACACCAAACCAATTCAGGAAAGATAAAATGATACTGAATATCTTAAATAAGAAGATTTCTGAGGTAAGGAATAAAGCAGAATATTTATAAGACTAAGTGATTTATAATGTTACATTAACAAAAATTATCCTACCTAATGAGGAGGATGGACTCCAGCTAAATTTCCATATTAGTCAGCAGAGAAAATTGCTTTCTACAGAGAAAAACTGAAAATAACACCAGGATTTTCAAACATATCAAGGATTTATAGTGGTAACATTTCTCTCCTTTTTAAATACAGTTTGAAGACAGAATTCTATAATAGACTATTTGGATTCTAAATGTGCCTAAGATGATCCCACAAATACTTGAATAAGAAAAAATTATAACTACATTTCATAAATGTGAATCTTGTTATTTTTACTACATCCTTCTTATAAACATTTATTTACTATGGTTGATCATATTACAGAAGGAATATGCAAAATTATTTCTTGATTCCCTCTGGATCTCTGTATTGTCTATTGAATTATACTTGCCCTAGTACAACTGAGAGTTTTTCCTTTCCTATAAGAATGGTGTATTACCCACATGATGGAAATACATTTAACTGAGAGGAGTTTCAGAAGCTAAAGACAAGGGAACCTTATGTATTTATCACATCCTGTCTGGCTTCCTCATTGATAACATGAGGGGATTGGTCTGGTTGATTCCTCCAGGGTCCTTCCCATCTTTAGCATTTTATTTCATTTTAGATTTTTATTCTTTATAGCGATGGGGGTCTCGCTATGTTGTCCAGCCTGGTCTTGAACTCCTGGCTTCAAGTGATTTTCTGGCCATGGCCTCCCAAAGCACTGGAATTATGGAAATAAGCTACTGCACCCAGTCCTCTAGCATTTTATTTATTATCATCCCATGACTTTCCTATTTTAGAGGTTATTGTATTTTGAGATGTTGAATTGACCCCTGGTACATTAATTTTCGAGTAACAAAAGATGGTCTAATAATAGGTTCAATCCAGGACAATTAGTTTTTTGTCAGACAGATGTGCCAGAGACACAAAAATTGAATATTCAGTTCCATAATGGACCAATTAACTGCGCAGAGACGAAACTTACATCATAGCCACAAGGCTCCTGCAACACACAAATTTATACGATGTTACAGAGGAGTAGAGAAACACAACCTCAATAAGAGCAGTAGCTAGCTCACTGAGAGTCACCAATGCTGAGGACAGGAGAGAAGCACTTCCAGTATACTGTCAATTCTTACAGAGTCTAGAAACCTAACAATATTTTGAAACCATATTAATAACTTAGGGAGAGAATAGGGTCATTAAATTTTATTTTCCTAAGTGAGAATATTTTAAAACAAAACATAATGAAAACTACTACGTTTGCCTTTCTTTTTCTAAAAGAATGTTCATTTTGGCCAGGCGCAGTGGCTGACACCTGTAATCCCACCACTTTGAGAGGCTGAGGCAGGCAGATTGCTAGAGATCAGGAGTTCGAGACCAGCCTGGCCAACATGGTGAAACCCCGTCTCTACTAAAAATACAAAAACTAGCTGGGCATGATGGCACATGCCTGTAATCCCAGCTGCTTGGGAGGCTGAGGCACGAGAATCACTTGAACTCAGGAGGCAGAAGCTGCAGTGAGCCGAGGTCATGCCGCTGAACTGTAACCTGAACGAGACTCTGTCTCAAAAAAAAAAAAAAAAAAAAAGAGGAAAAAAAAAGGTTCTTTTAAAATTAAAAAAAGATCTACAACAGAATAGAAGGCATTCTTTTTTTCTAATTAATTGTACTGTGGTAAAATATACATGACATAATATTTACTATCTTAACCATTTTTAAGTGTACATCTCACTAGCATTAAGTATGTTCATATTGTTATGCAACCATTGCCATCATTCAGCTCCATAACTCTTTTCATCTGTAAAACTGAAACTCTCTATTGATTAAACAGTAACTCCTCATTTTCCTCCCCCCACTCCATCTCAAACACCATTCTACTTTTTGCCTCTACAATTTTAACTATTCTAAATGCCTCACATAAGTGGAATCATACAGTTTTAGTAACCAGCTTATTTCACTTAGCATAAATGTCCTCAAGGTTTCATTCAGCCTTAGAAGGAAGGAAATTCTGACATACCACCACATGGAGTGAACTTTGGGTCTCTAGACATGCTGCTACCTAAGATCATGTCACTTTCTTTTCTTCCAGTACCTCTGATGCTACCTTACAGTAACTGAGATTTCCAATAACGCTTCTATGTGGAAGCCAACTTTATTACACAAAGATTCATACCTAGACCAGCATCCTCACAGTACGTTTCATGGTGTTCTGTGCAACAGATAGGTAAAAGGTGAAAATAACATGTCCCTAGGTCAGTTAGAGAAACGGTAACAAAAGTCAAAAAATCTTGTTAGAATTCAATATGTAGTATCCTCTAAGAGGAAGCTCCAGAATATCTAGAATTTATGTTAATTCTCATAAACATATTTTACCTGAGAAACACAGCTTTAGACCCTCTAACTTTCTGTGTTTTACATTTATATCAGAATTCAGGCCAGGTGCAGTGGCTCATGCCTGTACTCCCAGCACTTTGAGAGGCCGAGGCAGGCAGATCACTTGAGGTCAGGAGTTCAAGGCCAGCCTGGCCAACATGGTGAAAACCCATCTCTACTAAAAATACAAAAATTAGCCAGGCATGGTGACACATGCCTGTAATCCCAGCTACTCCACAGACTGAGGTGGGAGAATCGCTTGAATCCGGGAGGTGGAGGTTGCAGTTAGCCAACATTGTGCCACTGTACTCCAGCCTGGGCCACCGAATGAGACTTGGTCTCAAAAAAAAAAAAAAAAAAAAAAGGAAGGAATTCAGATGTTGGTCAGGCAATGCTAGGAAGAAGATTATGTAGCTGGGGTCAAAAGAAAGTCTTTCCTTTTAACACTCTTCCACTTAAAGAAAAATGATATAGTGTTAAGTCTGAGGGTTTTGCCTTAACATTACTGATAAAACTCCTTCTTGATCCATTGATAACTCCTCAGCAATTGGTGGGTGAGTCCTATTTGATTAACAAAAACGTAGATAAGTAAAATGGCAAGTTAATTAGTTTCAGTCTTCTATATTCAGCTTTCTTGATTTATACATTAATGTTGAAAGTATGGTTGTTGTTATTGTTTTGGTCTGGTATGGGGTGTATTTATGACTACAGTTAGAATAAACAATTTAATTACTCTCTTTGAATATCAAATAAAAGTAGGTAAAGAGTGAGTGGCCAAGGGCAATATTCTCTGTAGTTTCAAAATAGTTGATCAAATAACTTAATAGTGAAGTATACGTTTTAGACTACTATATATAATTGCGAAGGCTGTGTCTCAGTAACAGATGTACTATTTTTTATATATTAGAGCCATTTTTCCACTAACTGTATCTCTTTGTGGGTCAACAGTAATTATGCATGAACGCTCTTTGATTGTCATCAAACAGTGATATTAGCTGATTGCAAAATCAGTGTGGGAGCCACATTTGAGAGGTCAAAGTATACAATATCCATCCCAAACTGCTTTGGAAAATATCCGATAACCCTTAAAATCAGTTAAGAAGCAGATGAAAGAAGGGGTTACTTTCCAGAATTCTTTTAGCTGGTGATTCCAAATTATCAGCACACTAAAAGTCTACCATGCCCTCCTCCACTTAATAGCTGTTTTGTTCTTACAAATAGCTTCTTTTCTAGAGCATGGAATGGTAATTAGGATTTCATAGTTTGGTACAGCCAGCATTAGCATCATGGCTTTCTGTGCTGAAGATTGATAACAGTAGCCATAATGATGACAGAAAACGATAATAGTTCTAATTGCTGATATTCATCTTAGGATGGTGAGCAGCTGTTAAAACATCTCTTTAGGAGTTAAAGTTCAGTCACATATCTTTTTCCTCAAATAGAGAAAGCTTTAATGCTAATTAGAAAGGAGTATTACAAATTCAAATGTCAGTCAGAGTGTACCATAATTGTTCTTTATTAACACTTTTTCTCTCCCACCTCAAGCTTTCTGGCCCTTGAGCTTTTTAAGAAGCTGACACTGAAAGTAATGACAGAAGCCTCAGGAGGCCTCCTGATTTCCACTTAAAACACCTTTTTCAATTCAGTAAGGAAGTTTCTCATCTATCTGGATTTAGAGTGTGACCTGTTTCCTGAAAGTTGTCACAAACTCATATGCCTAGAAAGCCACAGTCTACTAGTACTTGCCTTAAGGCACATGATATAATTGCCAGAAATGTATCCAGAGAATTAAGGTCTAGTTCATTGCTGCCAAAATCAGCTTCAAAAACTTCATATAAAACCAGGTGGCAAACAATTTGCTGACTCCTGCCTTAAATGGAAATGCCAAAATTTTAGAATAACATAGTCTCAAATGATAATACAAATCTTATAACAAAAGTGCAAGGAGAGAGGGAAGTGTCAACTTTTGTTTTCAGTCCTAGTAATAGAAGGAGGGGTCATGGGAAAAGCACTGCAGAGATAGGAAGTATTTATTCCTGCTGTCTTTAGCCACCCACTTCCATTAGTTCCTGTTTCCTTAACTAAATAAAGTGGGACTCTATAGCATGTGAATGCATGAGTGTGTGTGTATGTGCATGTTTTTGTGTATGTTTGATTGCTGCTGCCAATCTGTAACCTGACTTGCAATATTACTGTTACTATTTAACGTGCAGGTTTCCAGACTCCTTCCCTATTGTATTAGTCCATTTTCACTCTGCTGATAAAGACATACCCAAGACTGGGTAATTTATAAAGAAAAAGAGGTTTTAGGTTAATGGACTCACAGTTCCATGTGGCTGGAGAGGCCTCACAGTCATGATGAAAGGTGAAAGGCACGTCTCACATGGTGGCAGACAAGAGAGAATGAGAGTCAAGCAAAATGGGAAACCCCTTATAAAATCATCAGATCTCGTGAGACACAGTCACTACCACAAGAACAGTATGAGAGAAACCACCCCTATGATTCAATTATCTCCCACCAGGTCCCTCCCACAGTATGTGGGAATTATGGGAGCTACAATTCAAAATGAGATTTGGATAGGAATATGGTCAAACCATATCATCTATTGATACATTTCAGTAATTCTCAGGTGGCTTCTAGAAATCTATATTTTAAGCAACTTCCCCAGGTGACTCATATAATCTAGTAGTCCATTTAGGAAACAAATACAGGAATCAAGGTCTAGAACAAACTGAAAATTCATGGTGCAGATGGGATCCAACATTTGCCAGGCTGCAATGCTTTCTGTTTTATAAATATAAAATTGGTTACTTACAATTACCAGGTAGAACTACATATCGTCTTAACACTAAAAGGTATGGCAGAATTGCTGATCGTGAGGTTTTGGAAGCAAGCAAAACTTCTAGAGCTACTTGGGAGATACTCAGGAGATGTTATTCAGTTAAAAAAAAAAAAAAAACTATGCTAGGCAAGAAATTTTCAGAGAAAATAAGCCGTAACTATGGAAAACTGATATGTCTACAAGCAGGCAGGACAGGAGGAATGCTTTCCTCATGCTTTTCAAATGCTGTGACAATTCTAGCCGCTGGAAAAATGCAGTAGCACCCAGGGCAAGCAGATGCACAGTTATCAGGGGTGGGGAAGCAAAGAGGTGGGGCAAGCCACACATCCATGACAGCTTTGTTTTAAACAGTGGCGACAGCTGAGAACCAAAGGGCAGCTTTTCTCGGAATAAACTGTTCAGCAGCATCTCTTGGTACAAATAACAATCCTCATCAGAAAGCACCATCTTTGAAAACAAAAGACAAAGCTTGCTGAATCAATTCTGCTACGGGTCAAATATCTACAGAGGCTATTATCCCCCTCACCACATTTTCTATTTCCAAACTTACACTCCTTCAATCCCAGTTTCTGCTACTTTCTTTCCTATTCCTCACTGTTCTCTCTTGTTACAGGTTATCTGGCCTAGCGTTCAGCTCGAGTTTGTTCTTCATGCCAATGTCATCTCATTATTTTGATTGCACACTTCTGACCACATTAAATTTTTTCCTTAAACCTGTTATTTCATACAGAAATAATTTCTAATATGCTCAGAAAGATGTATTGATTTTTGTGATGCTACCATATCATGTTGTCATTTCATTATTATTAGGAAATGTTTTTCTCAATGGAATAATAATAAATAACAGTAAGAGCTAAAAATATGTGCTCACTACATGCCATGCATTGTGCTAAGTGCTTTAGATGGTGATTATATTTTATATTTTTTAAAAAGTAGTTTCTGGTCTGATATATAAAGAGCTTGTAAGTCAACACTTTCATCCTTATAAGAAAAATAAAGCTGAACAAACTAAAGATCAATAGCATTTCTTAGAGCTTCATAAGAAAAATAAAGTCACAGAGCAAACTGCTGCCCCAAAAATCAGAAAGACAGACTATGGGGTTCAGTTTTAGGGGCAACTCCACACTTCCATCAGTTTTATCCCTAGAAACTCTAATGGGTCTTCATCATAAATCTAGGGGAAAAGTGATCTGTACTTTTTCTCAAGAGAAAATAACCATTTTTGAAGTAAATTCCGAGCTCTGTGTTCTCCTTAACAAGTCCTGCACTCAAAGGAAATTATTTCACCAGAGCCTAACTTGCTGGGATTTTATCAAGGATTAACCAACCTGGAAGAAGGCAAATACCCAGTCCAGTTCCCTCTAGTCTTTGATAAGGAGAAAGGGGTATGCATAACTCCAGCTTGCTAAAATACTGACACCTAAACACAGGAATATAGAAGAAATCCCCTTGACACTTTATCACTACATCAGTAGTGCTCCTGTATAACAATATTAAAGCTATAGGACTATAAGCCTCAGAATCTATTTAAGAACAAGTTCCTAGGGAAACTCAAAGACAAAATAGGAGTCAAAGACAAGGACACCAGAGGGAATTTTAGCCCCTGACACTACAGCTACAACAAATGATAAACACAGACTAACTTCTTGCCAAACAGACAAAAAAAAAACCTCCCACTAAATACCTCTCCACTTCAATTTCTTTTACTCAAAACATCATACCCAAATTTCAAAAAAATTACGAGGCATAGTAAAAGGCAAAACATAAAAGCAAACAAATTAAAAACCCACAATGCAAAGACACAAAACAAGCCTTAGAACCAAAACCATGTATGGCAGAAATTTTGTAACTATCAGAAAAGGAATTTAAACTAACTATGAATAATATATTAAGAGTTCTAATGAAAAAAAAAAAACTAGGCAACATACAAGAACAGGTGAGTAATATAAGCAGAGAAATGAAAACTCTAGGAAAGAATCAAAAGAAAATGCTAGAAATTAAAAGACTGCAACAGAAATGAAGAATGCTTTTGATGGGCCAATCAGTAGACTCAACATGGCTGAAGAAAGACTTGGTGAGCTTGAAAGTATATAAATAAAAACTTCCAAAACTGGAATGCAAAGAAAAAACAGGAATGACAAAAAAAAAAAAAGAATATTCGAGAACTGAGGGACAATTCCAAAAGATGCAACATATACGTAATTAGAATACCAGCATGATAAAAAAGAACATTAGGAATAGAAGAAATATTGGAATAAAAATGTCTGATGATTTTCCAAAATTAATGACAGACACAAAACCACAAATCCAGGAAACTCAGAGAATATCAAACAGAATAAACACCCAATAATTCACACCTGTGTGTATCACATCAAACTGATGAAAATTAAAGACCGAGAAAATCTTGAAAGAAGAGAGATAGGGAATAAACCACGTTACCTATAGAGAAACAGGGGTAAGAATTATATCAGTCTTCTCTACAAAAACCATACAAGCAAGAAGAGAATAGAGTAGAATATTTAAAGTGTTGAGAGAAAAAAGAAAACCAACCTAGCATTCTGTATCCCATGAAATTACTCTTCAAAAGTGAATGAGAAATAAAGACTTTCTTAGATAAATATTGAGGGAATTTGTTAACAGTAGACCTGCTTTACAGGAAATGTTAAAAGAAGGTCTTCAGAGAAATGGAAAATGATAAAGGTCAGAAACTCAGACATACAAAAAATAAAAATAAAGGAAGTAAGGCCGGGTGTGGTGGCTCATGCCTTTGATTACAGAACTTTGGGAAGCTGAGGAAGATTGCTTACATCCAGGAGTTCAAGACCAGCCTGGGCAACATGGTGAAACCCAGTCTCTACAAAAAAATTTAAAAATTAGCTGGGTGTGATGGTGCACACCTGTGGTCCAGCTACTCAAGAGACCTAGGTGGGAGGATTGCTTGAGCCTGGGAGGTAGAGGTTGCAGTGAGCTGTGATTGCATCACTGCACTCTAGCCTGGGCAACAAAATGAGACCCTGTCTCAAAAAAAAAAAGCATTAGAAAAGGAGTAAATGAAGGCAAAATAAATTCATTTATTTTTCTTATTCTTAATTGATTTAACAGGTAACAACTGGTTCAAAATAATAAGAGTAACAATATACTCAGTTATTATAGATTATGAATAGATCTGATGAATGACAGCAACCTTATAAGGGACAGGAATACTCTGTTATAAGGTACATATGCTATCTGTGAAGTGATGTAGTGTTAATTGAAAGATGGCCTGAATTGGTGGTATGTTGCAAACTCAAGGGCAACCACTAAAAAATGTTAAAAAAAAAAAGAAATAGAAGTAATATGCTAAAATTAGTATTAGCAATATTAGCATATTATGTCAATATTATAAATGTATATAATATATAGTAAAATAATCACAAATTAGCATATAATAATATGCTAATATTAATATGATAGATATTATTTCAAATTATCTATAACTACTTTAAATTTGAACAGTGTAAATACACCAATTAAAATACAGAGACTGTTAAATGGATTTTAAAGAAACCATAGGTTATCTTTAAAAACCCACTTTAAATATAAAGACAGAGAGAGATTAAAAGTTAAGAGATGGAAAAAGATATATCACACTAATGCTAATAAAAAGAAAGGAGAAATCGCTATATTAATTTCCAAAAAAACAAACTTCACAGCAAGAAAAGTTATCAGGACTAAAGAGGGGCATTACATAATGATAAAGGATCAATTGTCCAAGAAGACATAACAATCCTTTAAGTGCATAAACCTAACGACAGAGCACCAAAATACATGAGGCAAAAACTGATAAAACTACAAGAAGAAATAGATGAATCTATTATTATAATTTGATATTTCAATACCCTGTTATTGGTAATTGATAGATCTAGCAGGTAGAATTTTAGTAAGGATGTAGTTCAACTGAACTGAACTCAACCATTAATCAGTCTAATTGACATTTTTAGAATATGTCATCCAACAATAGCAGAATACACATTTTATTCAGGTTTACATGGAACATTCATCAGGATAAACCACACTCTGTGTCATAAAAAATTTCTTAACAAATTCAAAAGAATAAAAATTATACAAAGTATGTGTTTAGACTACAATTAAATTAAATTAGAAATCAATAATAGAAAGCTGGAAAATTCTAAAAGTAATGGAAATTAAACAACACATTTTTAAAATAACATATGGCTCAAAGAAGAACCTCAAGAAAAATTAAAAACTATTTTGGGCTAACTGAAAATCAAAATGCAACTTACCAAAATTCCTGGAATGTAGCAGAAACAGTACTTAAAGAAAATATTACAGCATTGAATGAATACATTACAAAGGAAGAAAGATCTAAAAATAAATAATCTAAGCTGTAATTTAGAAAACTAGAAAAATAAGATCAAATTACATCCAACATAAGCATTAGAAAAGAATTTATAAAAATCAAGTCAGATATCAATGAAACTGAAAACAAAAACACAGTAGAGAAAATCTACAAAACCAAAAGTGGTTCTTGGAAAAGATGAATAAAATTGATAAATCCCTACAAGGCTAACCAAGAAAAAAAGAGAGAGAAGATACAAAAATACTAATATAAATGAAGAAGGGGCCACCACTACTGATCCTATGGACATTAACAAAAAATAAAAAAAAATTATAAACAACTCTAAATTGTTTATAATTTAGAAAAGTGGACCAATTCCTTAAAAGACATGATCTACCAAAACACACACAAAGAGATATAATCTAAGTAGTCCTTTATCTATCAAAGAAACTAAATCAATAATTAATAACCTACCAAACAGAAGGCACTAGGCCCTAATAGATTCACAGGTAAATTCTACCAAATATTTAAGTAAAAAATAATACCAATTCTATATATTCTGGTTCACCAAATAGGAGAGAGAATACTTTCTACTTCATTCTCTGAGACCAGCATTACCCTTATACCAAAATTAGAAAAAGACATTACAAGAAAGAAAAACTACTGACCGACATCTCTCAGAAATATAGATGCCAAAATCTTCATCAGAGTATTATCAAGTCAAATCTAACAATGCCTAAAAAGAATTATATACCATGACTACGTAGTATTTATTCCAAGTGTGCAAGTCTTGTTCAACATTCAAAAATCAATTACTGTAATCCAGCACATAACAGGCCAAAGAAGAAAAATCACATGATCCTATCAGTAGATACAGAAAAAGCATTTCACAAAATTTAACACCCATTTATGATAAACACTCTTCATAAACTAAGAATAGGGGTAAGTTTTGTTAAAAACAACAGCAACAAAAAACTACAAAGAGCCTACGGCTAACATACTTAACAGTGAGAAACTAGATGCTTTCCCATTGAGATCAAAACCAAGACAAGGATGTCCCCTCACACCACTCCTATTCAGCATTATATTAGAAGTCTCATCTAATTCAGTAAGACAGTAAGAGGAAATAAAAGAGAGACAGATGGGGAAGGAAAAAATAAAATTGTCCTCAATCATAAATTACATGCTTGTTATTGTAGAGAATTCCAAATAATTGACCAAATGACTCCTGGAACTAGTAAGTGATTATAGAAAGGTAGCAAGATACAAGGTTAATATATAAAAGTCAATTGATTTCCTATATACTCGCATGAATAATTGAAATTTGAAATTAAAAACACAATATCATGTATATTAGCAAAACTACTGAGACAGTAAAAGAGAGGGGATAAGTAGGTGGAAGAGGATTTTTAGGGCAGTGAAACTATTCTGTATGATACTGTAATGATGGATATATGACATTTTTCATTTGGCAAAATCCTAATTCTGGGGGGCAAAACCCAAAGAATAGAACTGTACAACACTCTATGGTAAATTATGGACTTTAATTAAAAATAATATTTTAATCTTGGTTCATCAGTTGTAACAAATGTACCACACCAGTGCAACATGTTAAAAATAGAGGAAACTGTGAGTGGGAGAGAGGGAGTATATGAGAATTCTCTACTTTCTGTTCAGTTTTTCTGTAAACCTAAAACTGCTCTAAAAATAATAAGGTCTACTCATGAGAAAAAAAAGTTATGTTTAAAAGTAAAATTAGAAACAGTTCTATGAGGTAGGTATTATTACTATCCTTCTTTTCCAGAAGAAAACAAATGGAGCTTAGGGGAGTTAAGTAACTTGCTCAAGATCACATAGCTAAGGAATGATTGAACCACAATTAAAGGGTGCTGCCAATATTCAAACCCAGGCATTATAATTATATGGCGATATAAAGATAGATATATAAACACACACATATATGCATACATATATCCATATATGTAGGATCACTATCTCTATTCTGTAGACACGAAACTAAACAGAAAGAGAGAAGACATGAACACTGTAAGATTGTTAATTAGGAGATTCCCATAGGCAAGCACTAAACTGTAACTGGGAAATCGGCAAGATGGCTATCAGAGGCCTTCACATCCTTGTGGAGTGAACAGTAACTGACAACAGTTCAGCTCTCTCCCCGGGGCCTTATACTGGAAAATCAACAACTTCTACAAAAGTTTCTTTCTTCTTCAAAATATCCTTCTAAAGGTTTGGCCTTTGTTATATCTCCCTGGGATGGATAGGGAAAGGAGAAGGATGATAGAAGAAAAATGAGTCTTATTCCTTTCCCATGATCTTTCTGTCCTTAGCTTCCCACACCTTCTTTGTTTTCCACCTTGATTGTGTATCCTTGACAATCTCCTACCAGCAACCTCTACTCTACATGCCCTCATGATGAGTTCTTGTATTTCAGAAGGCATGCTCCCTGTCCTTGATGCATTTTTAATCTAGTTGTGGTAATAAAGCATCCAAATGCAAAACAGAACAATTTTGTTTCATTCATTGGGTCACTCGGGTAGCATGTATGCATTTATTGTAAGCCTACTCAGACTTCTGATTCAACAAATATTTATTGTTTATTTAATAAGTACCAGGCATAATTCTTCCACAAATCCTTGCTGTGCTGGAAACTTGGGATATATGTTAAGACATACCCTGTGCTTAGGTACTTACAGAAAACTGGGAGACAGACAAGTTCCAGGCAATATAGGATCAAGCATGCAGCTTTGTAGTACAAACTGTACAAAAGGATTAAGAAAACAACAAACAGGATAGAGTAGAATTAGTCAGGGTAAGCCACTTTAAAAAAAAAAGGTGGGGGGCTGTTCAATTTGACCTTAAAGAACATTTTTGGAAGAGGAAAGAGGAGTCAGGGAGAGACAACACTCTCATGCCTAGCAATTATTAACATCTGTAATGTAAACTGATTTGCACAAAGTCAAAGCAAAAAAAAAAATCTGCAGAATGGTATTGCACAGCAGGTCTATTTACAAGACAAATCATGTTACGTTTATTAAAATAATAATTTTTAGGTGTAAGTAATAAAAAAGAATGGTAGCTCTTCCCAGAGAGTGAAGAGGAGCTCACTTACAGAATCTCATAATAATTAAGGGAACACGTAGAACATGAGGCAAACAGAACATCCTTTCTCACAACAACTGCCATCTCCCTAAAGCCTTGGTTGGTCACGGTTTGTTCCTCATTAACATTGACTGATTTGAGGAATGCTCATTACTAAAATACTGCCTGCCCTGGTTCAGAGCCTTATCTACCAGGAAACAGACTTATACCCCCTGGCCTAAGGAACTGCATGATTCCTTTTCCGCAGGGAAGCAGTAGGTTGCCCTTGCTATGGATTCAGAGAAGTACTCTGTAGTCAAAGGTCTTGGGGAGGCCTGGAACTGAATACCCACATTATCTCCTGCACCACGTTGTTTGATAACTCTCCCTAGCACAAACAAGCTTTGTATTCTGTGGCTAAAACTGAAAGCCCAACTGATTTTCTTATCTTTAGCCTGTTACTTGTAAGCACGAGTGGGCTTCTATTCTTCATTGATTTATGCCTTAGATGCCAACTGTGTACAAGCCCGTGAGCTAGGTTTTCTGGCAGCTACAAATATGTCTCGGATTAAGAAAAAAAAATAGTTGAAAATCTTGGGTCAGGGCAATTTATCTAATTCAGACCAGTGTGCATCACTTGTCCCTGTAAAAGGAATTTGGAGCTCATCGTGATCTGCTCAGATGCTATCAAATGGCATTTTGTAAGCAGATCTCACACACATGCTGAAGGCAGGCTACTAATTTACAGTTTCACACAAATCCACTATTTGTTTACAAACCCCATAAATGACAGCAAATCACACAAATACCAAGCAGGTTTGTGTATTCTTACAGAGCAACCATTTCGAACACTTTCCATGAATGTTTTCTAGAAAGCTGATTTATTGCAGATTGGTTTCCTATTTGCAGAGCACATACATTTTAATGAATTACAAGCAGCATGGAGCAAAGCATGCATATTCTGGCAATAAAATGTCTAGAAACACTTTGTTTCGGGTCTCGTGGAAAGCATAAAATGGATCCCTGTCACAACAAATTTAAAATGCTGACTGAGAAAAAGCTAATTACTCTCACAAAAAAAAAAATAAAAAAAAAATAAGTCAAGTCGATATTTTCAGAAGGAAGTACAACCTATTTAAAAGAAAGAGTCAGGGGTGGGAGAAGTTTTTCTTTTATTAATTCCGCAAACTTTCAAGTTACAATGCAGTATAGTACTGAAAGGTACTGATTCCAGGGTCGGATTGCATAGGGTAAAATACTTCCCCATTTAATTCGCTGTGTTATCTGAGGCTCAGTCTTCCCACCTGCACATTGGGACTAGGAATAATAAGAATAGTACTATTGTTATTACTCAGATGGGATTAGACAAATGGCCTTAGCCTGGCACAGAGTTTGCATCAATAAGTGGAAGGTATTACTGTTGTTTTAATCAAATGCATATAGGAACCCAGTTAAAGGAAATATGAATATAGTTTTGCTTTTAAGGAATTTATATCTCAAGTTATGTTCACATAACTAGACACCAATTTAAAGCAATGAACAAGCATTTGTTTTTTTCTATGTAATGATGGCTAAATTGACTTACAAAATATGGGAGAGGGACCTCTCTATAGGGAGAGAAATAAAAATCACTGAGAATTAGAACTAGGAAGATCTTTGTTGAGAATTAAATACAGAATCTCAGATAGATGCTAAAAAGTTAATATTGTTCAACCACTAAATCAACGTGTAAGTATCTACAACATCCCTACCAAATCTCTTTTACATGCCTACTTTTAAAACATGTATTATTTTTGTTAATACTTAAAATTTCATACTATACTTTGCCATCAGGATATTTGCATGGCTGTCAAGTCAAATGAGACCCCCAAGTACACATTCTTCTTATAAGCCCAAAAGTTTCCTTCATTGAAATTATCACAACTGAAATCAAAGTCCATATGTACTTTTTAATAACAGCTTTAGTGAGACATTATAAAATTTACCCATGTAAAGAATAAATTCAATGGTTTTCGGTATATTCAGAGTTGTACAACCATTGTCACCATCAAATTTTAGAATGTTTTTATCACCCTAAAAAGAAATCCACACTCTTTTTTTTTTTTTTTTTTGAGATGGAGTCTTGCTCTGTTGCTCAGGCTGGAGTGCAGTGGCACGATCTTGGCCCGCTGCAACCTCTGTCTCCCAGGTTCAAGCAATTCTCTTCCCTCAGCCTCCTGAGTAGGTAGGACTACAGGCATGTGCCACCACACCTGGCTAATTTTTTGTATTTTTAGTAGGGATGGGGTTTCACCATGTTGGGCAGGCTGCTCTCAAACTTCTGACTTCAGGTGATCCGCCTGCCTCAGCCTCCCGAAGTGCTGGGATTATAAGCATGAGCCACCGTGCCCAGCCCACACTCTTAATAGTCACTCACCTTCTCCACTGTCCTCCTTCACTAATTTACTTTCTCTATATATAGATTTGTCTGTTTTATATACTTCATGTAAATGAAATCACACAATATGTGTCATTTTACTTTTATTTACTTAACAAAATGCTTTCAAAGTCATCCATGTTGTAGCATATATCAAGTCCTTCACCCATTTTAAAGTCAAGTAATATTTTATTGTATGAATATACCACATTTTATTTACCCATCCATCAGCTGATGACCACTTGGGTTGTTTGCACTTTTTGAATATCATGAATAATAATGCTATCAACCTTTGTGTGTAAGTTTTTGTATAGACATGTGTTTCCAATTCTCTTGGGTATGCACCTAGGAGCAGAATTGCTAGGTCATACAGTTACAAGAAAGGGGTCCTGATCCAGACCCCAAGAGAGGGTTCTTGGATATCACACAAGAAAGAATTCAAGGCGAGTCCACAGAGTAAAGTGAAAGCAAGTGTATTAAGAAAGTAAAGGACTAAAGAATGGCTACTCCATAGACAGAGCAGCCCCCAGGGCTGCTGGTTGCCCATACTGATGGTTATTTATTTCCTGATTATATGCTAAGCAAGGGGTGGCTTATTCATACCTTCCGTTTTTACACCATTTAGGGTAACTTCCTGATGTTGCCGTGGCATTTGTAAACTGTCATGGTGCTGGTGGGAGTATAGCAGTGAGGACGACCAGAGGTCACTCTTGTCACCATATTGTATTAGTTTTGGTGGGTTTTAGCTGGGTTCTTTACTGAAACCTGTTTTATTAGCAAGGTCTTTATGATCTGCATCTTGTGCTGACTTCCTATCTTATTCTGTGAATTAGAGTGCCTTAACTGTCTGGGAATGCAGCCCAGTAGGTTTTAGGCTCATTTTACCCAGCTTCTACTCAAGATGGGGTTGCTCTGGCTCACACACCTCTGACAACGCGGTAACCCCATGTTTAACATTTTGAGGAGTTGCCAAACTGTTTTCCAAAGAAGGCACACCATTTTCCAATCTCACCAGCTATGTGTAAAGGTTCAAATTTCTCTATATCCTTGCCAATACTTGTTATTGTCTATTATGTTTTATTCTAGTCAATATGGTGGGTGTGAGGTAGTATGTTAACTGTGATTTTGACTTGCATTTCCCGAATGACTAATAATGTTAAGAAATTTTTTGTGTCCTTATAGGACTTTTGTGTATCTTCTTTGGAGAAAGGTCTATTCAAGTGCTTTTCTCATCTTATTAATTATTCATCTTTTTATTATTAAGCTGTAAGTGTCTTGTAAAAATTATGGATACAAGTCCCTTATAACACCTATAATTAGCAAATATTTTCTCCCATTCCCTATTTGCTTTGTAAATAAGACGTGGAGATATTAATACCGAACTGAGAGTTTTGTCTTTACTTCTTAAGCTCTTCTCTTTTTATCCTCCCCATCTTCCATACTACCAACACACACACACACACACATACACACACACATCTTCCAACTCATTC
Source organism: Homo sapiens (assembly GCF_000001405.40). Lineage (NCBI taxonomy): Eukaryota > Metazoa > Chordata > Mammalia > Primates > Hominidae > Homo > Homo sapiens. The sequence goes on along the minus strand of NC_000010.11, from coordinate 51,915,520 downwards.
TCCTTCAAAAGCAGTAATTTGCTCCCCAAAAGGGAAGACACAAGTGAAATGAGGGAGAACAAAAGAGGCAGTTAAATTTCCAAACTCAGAGCATGTTAGGCCAAAGCAATTGAGAAAGAACAGAAACTTTTAATCTCTTCCAGCTTGGCTTTAAATGGCAAGAGCCAACCTGAAGGAAGGGAAGAAAAAGTTTAGTTACAAACAACAGATTTCAAAGAGAACTAATAATGTTGCCATTGACCTTATCAGTGTCTCTCCTGAAGAGTCTAGGCCTATTTAGAATGATAAAAGAGAGAGCTTCACAGTACTCCAATAACTCCGCCTAAGGCAGGACTTTTTCTCTGTTACTCACAGTTGGAGAGAATGCAAAGGAGTCTGGGATGATGTCAACACAGGACAGTAAAACTGAGGAACAGCTGCACAGCCAAAACAACTAAATTATTTAATCAGCCTGCTGGACCTGGCAGCAAGTAAGAGTAAGTTGGCTACATTAACCTCCTTTTCCCAAGAGGGTCCCTGGAATGTATAATCTGATATGTACTTCCTACTATATCATTAAGCAAGGGTGAGTTGAAATATGTTTTCTCTCTTTGCCTATTTTTTTGTCTTTTTTAAAAAACTTTCTTATAATGTTCCAATTAATAATTTAGTAAGTAAGAAATGTTATTTGCCCAAGACCTTATCGGTGCCATAGAAGTATAAATATCCAGTGGATAATAACGTACATAAGTGCACCATCCAGGGACACAAATCAGAACAACTCATAAGTTAGGATGAAATGTTTCCAAGATCCAATCATGCAAAATTGCAAATCAAAGGTAGAGAGTTCTTAAAAAGTTAGTGAGACAGAAGTCTTTTATTCCAAGAAAATCTAATCAAATGTTTTAAAGGGAAAATTGGACATGAAATTGACTTTAATACAAGCAAAGAAGTGGTTCTGATATGCTTTGTTTTCTACCTAAAAATCAGGAGATCTAAACATAGCATCCATGCCCCACTTCTCTTCACATAGATAAAGGAATGGTACTCACACCAGGTGGTAAAAAGTGAATTTGTTGACTTAATTTGGTTCTCCAATTTGGTGTTTTCAATAAAGTTCGGTTTTCCTCAAGGTATCTCAACTTTTACTCCCCCATTTGTGAATGTATAACCCCTGATTCAAATTGACTTTTAAGTGCTTTTTGTGACATATTAGGTTAATCTTTGCTACTTTTCTCTATGAAAAAAAGTTTTTATTTGCTGCTTTCTTTAAAGATGTCATCATAGCCTCAACATTTAGATAAATACTTTTTTTTTTTTATTTTCTCACTGACATTTCTCCATTGTGATTGGGTAAGCAATAATTAAAGGGAGCTATTTCTTAGCTGGAGATTAGTTAGGGGTTCTTCAAACCATTTGAAAAATGTAATTCATGTATAGAGACTTATCTTAGTATACATAAGAGAAGAAAGAAAATGAGTTAGCTTGTTACAGTAAGAAAGAGGAGATTGGATCCTGTTTTATAATTTCACAATTTTTTCCTCTTCCCCCAGGTACATCCTAGACTCTCAGAATAGACTCAAATACATTCAATTAATTCAAATACATATTTTCACAGTACTATATGGGATAGTATAGAGATTAATGCAACCAGTTTATAAAGTCAGAGTTTTCTGTTCCATACTTGCACCTAAAACTCCTATTTTACAAACTAAAAATGGCTTCTCTATCAAAATAAATCTGAGTCCTAAAATAATCTCTAATATTTATTGTCTCGATTTGAGTCAAATATGGGATAAGTAGAGTATACTACAGTGACAATAACAGTGAACACTTAGAAAGTCAAGTAAATTACTTGAACTTGTCTTTCAAAACACAGCCTAGGAAAATATTGAGATTACTGTGTTTGGTCTGGACAGATTTTTGACCAAGAAACTCTATACCTGTAAGTATACACAACTTTTCAAAGAGACTAGAGAAAACTCTCATTTGTTCTTGAAGAAGGAGTGATTCACTATACAAAGGAAATTGTTCTAGTATGTTATATAAAGGAAAGAGAAAAAGGTTCATTAAATTACTACATGTTCTCACTTATAAGTGACAGCTAAACATTGAGTGCACATGGACATAAAAATGAGGACAACAGACACTGTGAACTACTAGAGGAGGATAGGGCGTGGGGGTTGAAAAACTACTTATTGGATACTTATGCTCACTACCTGGGTGACAAGATCCATTCCCTAAAGCTCAGCATCATGCAATATCCTCGTGTAACAAACCTGTTCATGTACCCCTGTATCTAAAATAGAAATTGGGTGGGCGCCGTGGCTCACGCCTGTAATCCCAGCACTTTGTGAGGCCAAGGCGGGCGGATCACCTGAGGTCAGGCGTTCAAGACCAGCCTGGCCAATATGGCAAAACCCTGTCTCTACTAAAAATACAAAAATTAATCAGGTATGGAGGCACACACCCGTAATCCCAGCTACTCGGGAGACTGAGGCACAAAAATCTCTTGAAACGGGGCGATGAAGGTTGCAGTGAGCTGAGATCGCACCACTACACTCCAGCCTGGGCAACAGAGTGAGATTTCATCTCAAAAAAATAATAATAAAATAAAATAGAAGTTGAATTTTTAAAACAATAGTAATAATGCCAATGAACAAACAAAAAGAATAAAGAGATTCATTCCTGTACTATAATCTCATGGGGAGAAACTCACAAGTGGGTGGTATATTTATGCTAGAAATTTCAGAAGGGGGTAGGTGGGGGCTGGGGTGGGCCATGGCAGAAATCACTCCTAAATCCTTTATTTTTTATTTTAATTTTTTCATTTTCATAACAAGATTCCCCAGGTGTTGTACCCTTGCCTTCTTGTCACACTTAACTATCCATATCACTTTCAATATCATTATGTTCAATGCTCTTTTTGTCTGGTTACACTTGTTTCTCTCAGTCTCTGTCTTTCCATATTACTTTTAAATTGTTTTCTCTTCTGCTGGAAGTATTGTTTTACAATGAATATTCAGAATGAATAGTCAATAAGAAATAAGTCCACATGCAAACCATCCACCCTCACCTGGGTTATTTTGCAGTAGCCCTCTAACTGGCCTTTCCCTCAGTAATCCATTCTTCTCACAAGTGTCAGAGAGATGTTATTAAAACGTAACTCAGCTTATGTCACTTTACTACTTACAACCATAAAAATCTCCCCATTACATTTAGAATAAAAACCAGACTCCTTATCATGACTGGCAGAACCCTCTGCAACTTGGTCCTGCTTAATTTTCTGTAGCCTCCTCTCAACACACTACCACCATCCACAAATATTCCTTCTGTTCTTTAAGAGCAGCAAACTCATTCCTACTTTAAAATGGTGTGTCTGCTCTTCCTTCCACCAGATGCACATGGCTCCCCATACGTTCATTTAGATCTTGGTTTAAATATCACCTCCTCAGAGAGTTCTTCCCTTAGTAATTACAGAAGTAGCCTTCTCACTTGATGTTATTTTCCTTCCTTCCTTATCATAGTATCCTTCACTGAAACACATGCTATGAGAGAGCGCAGTCCTGAATCTCCAGGCCCTGAAACAATTCCTGGCACATGGCAAGTGCTCCATAAATATTTGTCAAACGAACAAAGCTATAAACTTCTTTGTTGAAGGCTTTAATGGTACTGCTTTCCTTTCAAAATTATCTGGGGTTCTTTCATCTTCTTGTGGCTATTTGAGATAGACAGCTCAATTATTATGCAAGCACATTTCCCCTTAATGTTATGTGACTTCAGTATTGCTTTTGCTCTTCCAAATTTGCTTCACTTTATCTGATATATAATTTAGTTTCTCATTGTGCCTGTTTATTCAACTTGAGTTAAACACTTTGTTTGTACTGGGTACTGTATTTACATGTCTACTTTGCATTTTGTGTGTTTACTTCATTTTTACATCCTGAAAACAAATGTATGAGTACTTAATAATCTGTTTCCATTTTAATTCAGCATTGGTATGGACTGTACTATGGCTCACACAATCCAAACACAAATTAAGGCATCTTCTGATTAGAAAATCTGACATAAAATACTAAAACATTTCTTTGGTCAGAATTATTTATAGAGCTATGGCTTTTGTTACACAAAATAGCAAATACTTTTACAGCTGTGGAAAAGAAAGACAATGATTAAAGAATTTCATGAAGTCTTTGTTTTGTTGGGTTTTTTTTTTTTTTTAGGAGGTTGACTGGGGCTAATAAATTTGTGCTTTAGTTTGATTTAAAAACAACAACACACAATGTCACCAGAGAGTCTTCAGTGTATTCAATAAAAAAAGCAAAAGGCAAAAGACCAACTTGGAAAAGTAGTTTTATATTTACAGAGGTTATAGGTCAGCACATTCAGAGAGAAATATAGCCAGTACTTTTTCTCATAAATTTTTTATACTTGAACATAGGAGTCAAATGTGACAATGTTCTGCTTCACTTTGTGTTCACATAGATGAAGGAGACCAGTAAGTCACAGCAAAGCTGACTTCAATAAACCACCAGCTAAGAATCTGTATATGGATCACAGAATTACTGGTATAGTCAGTACCTAGAGACAAAAGCATTTTCACTATCTTTCTAACTTATCCCTTCTTATAGCCCTACTCCAGAAATTCTTTAACCTCATGAGACTAAAAGTCACTGATCCTACCACTTCTCACTGGCCATTGCCCATCTGGTGCTTGTCTCCTCCTTGCCCTGTTTAAATTCCAAGGTCAATCATTACAATCACTCTCCATATGCACTCAACGCCCCATTCCCTCTATCAACCACCCATCTTCGCTTGGCAAAATAACAATCCTGGTTAAATCCAATTCTATATCTACCTGGAAAGTGAATCCAGGTAAACGAATGAGGCTAAAAAACAGACACATAATCAAATGTTCTAGTGTCCAAGAGGGCTTAATATTCCCCTCTGCTTGACTAAACTTTTGACTAAACTTTAGACAGTCAGCTTCCTGACTCAAGGCTCCTGATTTCCCTTTACTTGGAGCACTTACTTTTAAAGAAATTTCAACTGAAAATTCTTAATCTGCCTCTTTGTGATGAAAATCTTCTCCCAGCTGATTTCACACCCCAGGAATGTCCTTCTCAAGGACCTTGGAACCATCCTTTTGAAATGTAATCTTAGAAGAAAAGAGACAGATCCTTTTCTCTCAGTCTCTTGGGAGGATGGGAGCCTAACTTCCATCAGGAACAAATAGCAAACACAGATGGCCTAATCACAATGAACAACTGCCTCCCTCCTAGAGTACCCCCACTGGATTTACCTATGTGACTTTTCCACTAGCTCACCCCAGTGCTTAAAAGCTCTCCTACCTTTTGTTCCATGGAATTAATTCTCCTTCCCCTATTGCAATAATCTTGAATAAGATTTGGGATTACTAACATCAAGCAGGGCCTTAATGATGCCTAGCAATCATACTTGCTTTCTGCATCCTATGAAAATAGAATATATCAGAATAGGCTTTCCACAGCTCCAGCCATTACATCAATCCACCCACCTGCATGTGTAACCAGATAGTCTACCTTCCCTGTTTCTAGAGGCACTACAGCGCCTATTCTCTTGTGCTTACTCAAGGGGCTTATGTGTGCAAACCTCTCTGTCCCCTGCTTCAGTAATATCTTCTGTTCTTCTCTCAACCTGACTTTCCCTTTCCTACCTGTTGACCCCATTTCTCTCCTTATCTTTTCACCTAAATTAAAATCCAAGCTTTGCTGACTCTTCTCTAAGTTATTCTCTTCTCTTGGATTTTAACAAGCAAAAAGCTCCTGATTTTCCTCCTACTTCCACAGGCTTTCCTGGTCCCTCTTCATTCCTCAGTCTCTTAAAGTAGAAATGTGAAGAATCAGTCAAGGCCTTATGCCTTCCTCTTCATTCATTCATTCATTCATTCCCTTTTATCCCTATAGATCTCCCTTCCCTTTTCTGATACAGACCACTGTTCACGTATATCCAATTTTCAATATTTTGTCAGGACTCCCAGCAAAATGTATTTTTGTGCTCATATGTCTTCGTATATGTAAATGATCTTTCAATAACTATCTCTTTTTTTTTTGGTTTTAAGCTTTTCTCTCGGCATGATGTTTTTAAGATCGATTCATGGTTTTATAATAATTGTTGGCTGCTCCCTCCTTCAGGGTTCTGCCTTGTATTCATCCGCATTTGGTCCCACAGAATGATATTCAGATAGCCAATAGCTCCCTCTACTTAAACAATGCTACAAGAAACCATCTACCTGCCAAAGATCACTTAAGCTTCTGATTTTACTCCAGCCTCTCTCCCTGAGCTTCTTATCTCTCCACCTCAGTGTACTGTTCTTCCAGTCTTCTTCACGTCAATTCATAACAACTCCATCCTTCTAATTATTTACAACAGAAACCTCAGGGTTTCCCCTTGATTCCTCTCTTTCTCTCATTTTACAAGTTTACTGCAATGGTAAAGCTTTTCAGTTTTACCTTCAAAATATAGTCACAATCGGCTGGGTGTGGTGGCTCATGCCTGTAATCCCAGCACTTTGGGAGGCCGAGGCAGGCAGATCACGAGGTCAGGAGTTTGAGATCAGCCTGACCAACATAGTGAAACCCCGTCTCTACTAAAAATACAAAAAAATTAGCCGGGCATGGTGGCAGGCACCTGTAATCCCAACTACTCAGGAGGCCGAGTCAGGAGAATGACTTGAACCAGGGAGGTGGAGGTTGCAGTAAGCCGAGATCACGCCATTGCACTCCAGCCTGGGCGACAGAGCAAGACACTGTCTCAAAAAAAAAAAAATTACATATAGATAGATAGACAGAGAGAGAGAGAGAGAGAGAGTCACAATCTGATGATTTTTCAATCTCCTTCTCCCACAGTGAACAAAGTCACCACTATTGTTCCCTGGATTATTGTAGCAGCTTCTTTATTTATTTTTTCAACACAGCAGCCACAACAATTTTGTTAAAAATCTAAGTCAAATAAGTTCATTGCTCTGCCTAGAGCCATCCAGTGACTTCTATCTCACTCTAAGTAAAAGCTAAATTAATTGCAATGTCCTAAGTGGCTCTCCATTACTTGGCTGCACTTATAGCACTCTAGACACACCTTTTTCTGACTCCATCCTCCAATTCTGTCACCATGACCTCCCCCATACACTATTCCTGTATGACATTTTCTCCTGTTAATCTCTCTATTGTCAATTCACTTCAAAAGACTTAGACTTTAACCTTTAGAGAAAAAGTTTGAAATTTCCTACACCACCAATGTATCTCTATTTCCTCAGCAAACAGGAAAAGACAATTTTTTAATCTTTTCGACCTGAAACAAAACTCATATGCCCAATACCTTTAGGAGAACAACTTTAGACTACATTCCGTATAAAGCTCATCAATTTGAACAGAAAAACTTCCTCCTGCTGCTGCTGTTATGAATCCCAGTCTACAAAAGGATAGCCTAATGTGTGTTGTTTCTCCTCTTTCTCAAAACCATAGCTTTGTGGGTTCAGAGAAAAACAACTAAAAGTGGCATTCCACTTTCAGGCAGAAAATTATGTGTATCAAACATACTTATATGGTAATAAAATATGTGCCCAACTACTAATCCTAGTTGTAAATTGCTAATCTGAAGCTTCAGAGTGGTGATAACTACAATTTTACTTTACACTAGTTAAAATAAGAGAAATATGCCAGTTCCTATTCTAGTAAGTCAAAGTAACATGGTATTTATCACAACAAAAAGTTTGTCTCCCTCTATAATTAGGTTGATTTGCACCTTTCTGCATATAAATGTCAGACATGATAAGCTGCTTTCTATACGAAGCCAAATATATAGCTCATCCCAGAGCTTAGAAATTTTTTAAAGATCTCTGCAGTTTGTGATTCCTCATCACACAGCTGTGAAAGAAGCCAGCCAAGCAGGCTGGATCCCATCTCAAAAAGTTCAAAGGCTAAAAACAATTACCTCTTCAAGGACATCAGCAAGCTTGCTGAGGATCTCTTCAGGAAGGCTCTGGAATGTTGGAACGCTGAAAAACAAAACAGAATAGTGCTGAACACATGAACCACAACTTACTTTCATAAGTAATAAAAATGACCATGAATCTAATTAAAATACAAAACTATTTCATGACAAGGAATCTGCCAAAAAAAAAAAAATGCATTAGCCACACAACCTGAAAAAAAAGAACAAAGTTGCAGATGAAGATCAAAGCAATCATTTAAGCATGGTTTGATGTCTAACAGGGAAAAGGCATGGAGTATGAAAAAAAAACTTGGAGTTTGGACAGACTGAGTCCAAATCACTGTTACATTTACCTGTGTGACCATGGATATGTAAACCGAATATAAAATTTTAAGCCCCCCAGTCAACTGATGGATGCCCCTCTTGGCCAAGGGCATTCCAAAGTAAACCTGAAAAACTAGTTCAGGCCATGATGGGAAGGAAGGGATTGGACATGCCTCATTATACCCTCCTGCCTTTGGATTTCAGTCACAACTTACTAGAATTAACATTCAAATAGAAATAGAAATCTTAAGTCTCATTGTAAGTCTTAAAATAGAAATCTTAAGACTGACAAAACAGACTCTTTATAGAAATAAGATACCAAATTCCAACCTGACTCTAGTATAGAATCACATGACAGATAGCATACCCTGAAAGAAATTGAAGTATTTTACCCCAAAATATATTCCTTTGACATATTTTGAAAATTATTTCTCTCCTGTAGAGCTGTCTCTTGTGGGGAAAGTCTACATTCTATACAGAATCCCCTTTGCTTTCCAGGTCTTTTCCCTAATCTAGCAGAGAATTAACTAAGAGTCTGGCATCTTTTTATGTCTGATAAGAGTTCTGAAGCCTGCTACCTGGAGGCTTCATCTGCATAATAAGAACCTTGGTCTCCACAACCCCTTATCTTAATCCAGAAACTCCTTTTATTCATTCTGGGTCTTCAGATAATAACTTAACTCTTATAACCAATTGCCAATCAGAAAACCTTCTAATCCACCTATGACCTAGAAGCTCCCACTTTGAGTTTCTCGCCTTTCCAGACCAAACCAATATATACCTTATATGTACTGATGGATGTCTGCCTGTAACTTCTGTCCCCCTAAAATGTATACAATCAAGCTGTAAACCAACCACCCTGGGCATATGTTCTCAGGACTTCCTGGGGCTGTGTCATGGATCGTGGTCCTCACATTTGGCTCAGAATGAATCTCTTCAAATATTTTACAGAGTTTGACTCTTTTTGTTGATAGGTGCCTCAACATATAATGAGGAGAAAAACACTCTCTCCTCTGTTAGTCTGCTGTCACCAGGTTCCTTCAAGCTCTATTTCCCTTTCCAGGTCTTCCTCCATACACACACCTTTCTCCAGGCCGACTCCTAACCATTATTGAAGACACAGGTTGATTGATGATGCATTCAGATCTGCAAACATTCACTTAACAACTTTGGAAAGCTTCCCACTCTCCTCAACCCCTCTCCAGCTAGGTCAAGTTCTCCTATCACGATCTCTTTAATCTCGTACTACAAGTGTAATTAGATAATTAATTGGATTTTTGTTACTGAATGTCTTCTCTGCTAGAATTAAAAATCCACAAAAATAAGAACTATGTCTGTCTTTTTCAACCCCCTGTATTTTCAGCGATTTATAAATAACAAACAACATATTTTGAATGTAGTTATGAAAGCATGGATTTGTGAATGCTTCATAGGACAGTGATTAGACCTGAAAAGTTCTACCCATGAAATATATTAGCTTAGTTTGCTCCAATACATCAAAATACAATGTTAGTTCCCTTCTTTTCATCCTGTTCTCTTATTTCTCCCCATTAAACAGTACATAAAAATACTAAATGATGTCAAATGCACAAACCAATAAAACTTACTTTATGCAAAATTATAATAACTTTAAATAAAAAAAAACAAAAGGTTATCAACATATAATTCCTGAAACCTCACTGGAAAATCTAACTGGGATGTGGAACTATAGTCTTAATTAATCATAGCTTAATATCTGAATGGAGAAAAGGCTATAACTGAGTGCATATACATTTGTATGCCTGATGTTTGACTTACAGCATAATTTTGGCTTGATTACAATGATACCATAAAAGAAACAATAATGCTCTCTTTTGGTAAAAGCATGAACATTTTGTTGTTAATTTGTCACTTTGATTTCCATTACTTAGGGTAAGGCTTATTGATGAAATCCCAAGGTTTTATGCAGAGGTGTAACAATTCACCCAGGACCATCTGTTGCACCAGATTTACTGCTATGGTCTGAGCCATGTGGGGTTTAATTTCCAGAAGGCAGTCTATTTCAGCAGCTGGATGGACCATATCACATAAAGACAGAAGGAGATAGAGGAAGCTGTTGCCATGAGTTATGTAGGTTGAAAAATTTAGTCCTGCCTTGTTCTTTTAATGAGCTATATTTCAGTTTCTTCTGAGATGAATAATTAGAGTGCTTCTATCCCATTAGGTATTCCTGGAAAATACAAACTAGAACTGAGTTTTTCTCATTTTATTATAATTGGCTTCCTTCTTTAGACCAGCTTATTCCTATTATACTACACCTATTATTTTACTTTAGGCTCTGGCTATTCCTAGCCATAATACAGTATTTTCATTTCCATGAGAGTTCTTATCCAAGAGAAGAAATTTACTTGACTATATAATGCATTAAGTGAAAACAAAAGCATCAGGTTTTAGGATGGCATTTTAAATATATCATCTTTCACAATTTTAAATGCCTCTTTTAAATGCCTCAAAACATTGAGCAGCATTTATTGCTAATACAAATTAAGGATGATTTTTAAGAAGAAACACTCTAAAATATTACCAGTAACAACTGAAGCACTTCTGGACTTCACAAAAAGAAAACCATTTAACAGGAAAAATAAGTGCCTTCACTGTCATAAATTACTGTGAAAACACTTTTCTAGCCATCTTTACAATTCTAAGATTTATATTCTGCAAACACTAGATAAATTCTGTCACGTAATTAATTTGCTTTCTAAAAATGACTGGTCTACTAGTAGCATACACACTAGGAACAAAACAATTCAGAATGTTTATAGTTTGAAATTCTACCCACGAAATATATTAGTTTAGTTTCCTCCAATACATCAAAATACATCATTTTAGACTCCACTAAATTATATATAAAATAATTCAAAATAAAGTTTTCTATCCTTTAGAAAACTGAAAGCAAAATAATTGCAAGGACAAACTTCCAGATAAAATGTTTAAACATTAGAGAAGAATATTTTCAGTTATGCAAAAAAAAATAATTTATTGTAACAATTTACATGCTAATTATGAGTAATTCTTACAGATGCATTACCTATTGTTTTGGTTCCCTAAGGACTTGCAATAGGCCCGAAGTTACAGAATGCACTAGAATGTAATATAATAGAGATGATCTAATGTGCAGTGCTTTTCCATTGGTTTTTCTAATTGAATGTAGCAACGACTTACAATTTGTAATGACAATAATAGAAGATGAGATTTGAGTAGTTTCTATTTGCCAGGCACTGAGCTAAGGGTTTTATAGATAATATAAATTTCATTTTTACAACAACCTTATCAAATAGCCATTCTTATTGTCATCTATTGTATAGATAAGACAACTGAGACCTTGAAAGTCTGCCTGAGGTCATTCCACTCAGCACTGGTGAAGAAAGGATGAAACATCCCCTGTAAATGATGGTGGAGTTGATTGCTTACTCACTGAGCTACATACTTTTCAATGAATATACTAAAAAATGCCTTTCAAAACAACACTTTACTCTTTTAGATAGTGATATGGAAATAAATAAATAATATTAGTAACATTTGATTTAGTGACTTCATTTATTTCCAAACATTTTATTATAAAGCATGTCAAATAAATTGAAAGTCTGGAATAATAAAGATTGCCTCTATCCCCAACACACAGAATCACAACTGTTAACATGTATCATTTTTTGTTTATCTACTCTCAATCCATGTATTCTTCTGTGTGTGTGCATAGATTAACGGATATACAGTTATTTTTGAATGAAACATTTGAGAGTAAGTTGCCAATATGAAACAATTTCAATACTTCAGCATACACATCCTAAAAATAAAAACATTCTCCTAAGTATATAGCCTTAATACCATGATCATACCTAACAAAATTAACTATAAATCTACACTATCATCTAGTATTTATTCCACATTCAAATATTACCTATTGTCCAAAAGTGTCTTTATCAATTGTTTTTTGTTTTGTTTTGTTTTCAAACCAAGTCCAGTCAAAATCTGAACACTGCTTTTGGCTGTTATTCCTCTCTATAGTCTCTCATTTTACGACAACCCTCCCACATTTGCCCATATGACACTGACATTTTGAAGAGGACAGCTGTATTAGTAGATGTCCCATTTTCTTAATTCATCTTAGTAATTTTATTTATGTTAACCTATTACATGAAAACAATAGCTAAGAGGGGGAAAACCTAGGTACAAAAAATTTTATTAAAGCATGTGTCAATAAAAACAAAAATTGGGAGCACATATAGAATAACATAATTACATGCAGCAGGAGTTCTCAAAATGTGGTCTGGGAACCCAGGGATTTCCTGTGACCCTTTTGTATGGGTCTTCAAAGGTCAAAACTATTTCCATAAATTGGAGTTTGCCTTTTTCACTTATTATTTCACATGTACACAGTAGAATTCTCTAGAGATCACCTGACATAGAATGATATTATCACTTTAATGACTAATGGGATGCATGCTTGTTTGTTCTTGGGTCTTCTATAATTTTTAAGGTAGTAGGTTTATGATAGGTGTGCTGTTTACAGAAATTAGTATGCTATTAGCACTTCTACTGTGCTCTTACTAGTCATTACACCTGCTATAATCTCTGTAACCTTATTATCATCATCCACTAGGTCATTCTTTTGAAATCCTTAAGTTTTCTGTGTGCCTGAGTAGAAAAACAACAAGTAAATACATTTGGATACCTTATTTTTCAATAACAGTTTTACATATTTTTAAAACATTTATAACATTTAAAATTTTATCTTACTTATAATTTTAGAAGTGTATAGTACTTATTAAGAAGTTAATAAAATAAAGTTTAAGGCCAGGTGTGGTGGCTCACACCTGTAATCCCAGCACTTTGGGAGGCCTAGGCAGGCAGATCACCTGAGGTCGGGAGTTCAAGACCAGCCTGACCAACATGGAGAAACTCCGTTTCTACTAAAAATACAAAATTAGCTGGGTATGGTGGCACATGCCTGTAATCCCAGGTGTTTGGGAAGCTGAGGCAGGAGAATTGCTTGAACCCGGGAGGCAGAAGTTGCGGTGAGCTGAGATCACACCACTGTACTCTCCAGCCTGGGCAACGAGAGCAAAACTCCATCTCAAAAAATAAAAACAAAAATAAAAAATAAAAGTTTATATTATATTTTCTTAATTTAAGAATAGATTATCGCTTTGAAAAGGTGATTAGAAGACTCATATTCTCAAGTCACAGCAGTCAATCTTTAAGTCCAAAGACACTTGGAAAATATAAAAATGCATCAAAATATCACATGTACTCCATAAGTATGTGTAATTATTATTTATCAATGATATTTTTTAAATGTCACATCAGAGAGTTCCTGACTCATGTAAGATAGATAGAGAATCCAAAGAAACTTGGAAACACTGTAAATAAGAAATACAAATAGGATGAAAGCTATCTTTCTCTCATGGTATAGATAATAATTTCCATTATTATGTTATAAAACAACATTTTTGGAAAGATTATCATGCCAGCTAAGTTGTGACACCATTTTGAGACAAATCATTCAGACTTTAAAGAAAAAGAAATTGAATTTTTAAAATGTAGACATGATGCATTTTCTAAAGGAAAAGTGTTCTGTATAGCTTTTCAACTTAAAACTGAAAATCAGTCAAGCATCTTACGGGTCAGTTACCATATTGCATTCACTAGAGAAGATCACACAATAATTAAGAGACAAATGAAACCCTGTAAAGTTGGCTTTGTTGAATGCGTGCCAGATGCAAAGTCAGTAAAAGAAATTATTGCACTGCATCTTTCAAACGGTATGGTACCTTGCTGGAATTAAAGGCTTAGCTTCAAAACAAAGACTGAGTTAAGATCCTGTCTGCACAATTGTACTTTTGCTTTACAAATGAATGAAGCTACAGACATGGCTGGATTTGCTTCTAGAACCAGAACAAACTAATCATTCTTCTAGTACCAGAACAAACTAATCATTAAAGAAATTATCATTTACATGAATATGTGGCAATGAACACAAGTGGTAACTGTGCTATTCAGTGTTGAATAACTTTTTAAAAGATGGACTTGAATAACTTTTTGACTCTTAAGGCTTATCCTGGAATGACTATGTTGACATTTGCATTGATGCTGCAAAAGTGATGGTGGCTCTCAGTACAAATCAAAGCAGTAACACCAAACTATACTAGTTGTTATTTTCTTATTCACCACACACTCACCATAGAAAAAGATAAATAACATGCCAGTTTTACTTTAAAGTATGAAATTCTTCCTGAAATAGTAAAAGTTATTAATTTTATTAAATTTAATTCTTTAAATTAAATTTTGTATACATGTTTTTGATATTGTGTGTGTGACAAAATATTGAAGTATGAAAGTTGTCTCAAGCAAAATCATTTGAATGGTTGTTGGAGTTACAAGCCGAGTTAGCCACTTTTTTCATGGAACACCATTTTTTACTAGAAAATGATTTAAAAAAAATATGGGTTTTGGCAGCCTATTTTTCAAAATGAACAAAGTTAAGTCCATCACTTAAAGGGCAATAACAGACAGTGGTTTTTGCCTATGATAAAATTCAAACTTTCAACCAAAAATTAAAACTTCAGAAAACTTTTATCTGCCACTGTAAGCATAAAAGCTTTCTAATACTTGAAGACTTTTTCTGCTAAGATCAGTAGTTAAGAAATATGACATTAAGAAATATGATTTTTTTATGTTGGAAATTTTGCATAACTCAGTGAGCCAATGATTTCCAAATGACCAAAGCATAATGTTATAAAAATCACACATTGGTAAATGATTCATTCAAATTATAAGGTGGATCAATGGATTTTGATGTTATAATAGAGTATGAAAAGTTTATTGCTATAGTTTCAGAGTCCATATTGCAACTAACCTTTAAGGAACTGCCACTTGTTGGATGTTAATGAAGGATGAAATCACAAAAAAGAATGTCCACATTATCTTGAAAGGCTATTATCGTAAACCTCCCTTTTGCTGCTACATATATCTGTGAGGTTGTATTTTCTTCATATATTTCAACCTCAACCACATAAATTCAACAGATTGAATGCAGAAGAAGATATGTATGTTAGTCTGTTTTGCATTGCTATAATAGAATACCTAAGGCTGGGTAATTTACAAAGAAAAGAAGTTTCTATGGGCTAATGATTCTGCAGGCTGTAAAAGCATGGCACCAGCATCTACTTGGCTTTCAGTGAAGGCCTCAGGAAACTTAAAATATGGTGGAAGACAATAAAGGATCAGGCGCATAGCATGGTGAGAGAGAGAGTAAGAGAGGTGCCAGGCTCTTTTAAACAACCAGCTTTCATGAGAATTAATAGAGTGAGAACTCACTCATCACCAAGGGCATGGCACTAACCCACTCATGAGGTATGCAACCGCATGATCCAACACAACCCACTCAGTTCCACCTCCAACACTGGGGATTGCATTTCAATATGAGATTGGGAGGGGGCCACACATCCAAACCATATCAATATGAGAATCCAGTCTTTTATCAAGTTAGATAGTTAGATATTGAGAAATTTGTATATATATATATATATATATATACATTTTTCTTTTTTTTGACAGACTCTCACGCTGTCGCCCAAGCTGGAGTGCAATGGTGGGATCTGGGCTCACTGCAACCTCTGCCTCCCAAGTTCAAGAGATTCTCCTGCCTCAGTCTCCTAAGTAGCTGGGACTACAGGCATGAGCTGGCCAATTTTTTGTATTTTTAGTAGAGATGAGGATTTCACCATGTTAGTCAGGCTGGTCTCGAACTCCTGACTTCAAGTGATCCACCCTACTCGGTCTTCCAAAGTGCTGAGATGTATAATTGTAAACTTAAACTCCTTTCTATTTTATTTTTTTTTGATTTGGGAAAATATGGTTATTTTAATTAAAAATAGACTTTATGTTACAATATAATATGTTTATTATTGAGGTTTCCAAATGAATTAGTGAATAAATATTTTTCAAATATTTTCATTTTTAATTCCAAATGCAGTAAATACTAACAGATATAACCAACCTAAGTTGAAGAATCACTGACATGGTGATTAAAATTGATGTATTGATGAAAAATATGTAAAACACGGAATACCTACAAGATAATATTAAGAGAAGATACTAAAACTTATGTATACAATGGAATTATTACATTTTACAGAAACTTCTTACAATTGTGAATAGAGCTTTGCAGGAAAAAATCAAAAGGTTAACAGATATTGTGTTAGGTGGAATTAGTATTAGTCTTATGTTTTTTCTCTCTCACTACTTTCTTATATTTTCAAACTTTCTGTTTTGTAAATATATTCTTATAATACCAAAAATATAAAGTGCACAATTATGGTTATAAGTAGATAAAATGCATCTGAATGGGCCCATTTAAAGAAAAAAATATTATTTCTTTTTTAGAGACAGAGTTTTGCTCTGTCACCAATGCTGTTGTGTAGTGGTATGATCATAACTCACTGCAGATCACAGCTTTAACCTTCTGGGCTCCAGCAATTCTCCTGCCTCAGCCTCCTGAGTAGTTAGGACTACAGATGTGTGCCACCAGTTTTTTGAAGAGGCAGGGTCTCACCATGTTGCCCAGGCTGGTTTCAAACACCTGGCCTCAAGTGATCCTCCCTCCTTTGCCTCCCAAACTGTTGGAGTTATAGGCATGAGCCACTGTGCCTGGCCAAAATTTTTTTTTAATATTGGAAAAAAATTGTTGTTTAATTAATTAATTTGTTTCTTCATCAAAACTTATTGAGTAACTCATGAGCCAGAAATTGTTTTAGGCATTTAGGATTCATCAGTGCACCAAAGAAAAGATTTCAGCTTATTCATCAAGGAAATAGAAAATAAAGAATAAATATAATAAGTAATGTATATTATACATATTTTAAATATACATCTATATCATAGAGTTACATTAGATAATGGCTACAGAATTTTATATGATTTAAAGATGAACAGGGTAGCAGTTATTACAATGGAAAGAGGGGCAAGTTAAAAGATTAAACAGGGTAACCAGGATGTCCTCACTTTAAAGGTAAGATCTGAGCAGAAACCTGAGAAAGGTGAGGGAGATAGATAACTGGATTCTGGGGAAGAGCATCCAGGCAGAGTGAACAGAGTGAGCCAAGGGTTTTTAAGTGCCTGGTAGATTCCAGGAGTAGCAAAGAGGTCAGAGTGTCTAGACTTCAGTGAACTGGGGAAAAGAGGGAGATTAGTAGACATCAAGAGGTAAGGGTGGGGTCAGGTCACAAAGGGGCTTATAGATCATTGTAAGAGCTTAGCTTTATTCTGAGTGAAATGTAGAGCCATTGCAGGATTTTCAGTCTAGGTGTGATTTATCTTATTTACACATGAAAAAAAAAAATCCTTCTGCCAGTTTTAGGGAGAATAAACTGTAAAGTAGTAAAAGGGGATGCTGGTAGACCAGATGAGAGTCCACTGCATGACAGAGGATGGAGGGCTGGACAGCATGGAAGCAAAGGAGGAGATGAGGAGCAGCTGGGCTCTGTTATATTTTGAAAGCAGAAGCAACATGATTTCCTAGTAGACTGAATGTGGAATGAAAGAGAAGAGAAGAGACAAGGATGGCTCCTTGTGGTTGAAAGGAACCAATAAAAACAATTTAATTTTTAAATATTCAATAAGCGAGTTATTTTCTAAGTTAGTAATAAAGGGTTTGATATTTTCAAAAGATTATAGTTTTAAAATATAACCAAAGAATATCAGATTTAGCCCCATATCTATAAGCCAAAACATCTGAACAAACAGAAATCTGCAAATAGTTCAACAATGTCCTCTACCTAGGAAGAAGCATACAGAGTTATATTAATTATCTCTGGGAAGCATATGGAGAAGAGTAGCCTTCTGATTCTCATATAAGAAATCATCTCTGCATCAAATTAGTGCCACCAACATTGACAAGTATTGTTTATTTCTGTGCCAGTGACTTCCTTACAGAATAAAAGAATAAAAGCAGAAATCTCGGACTTACTAAAAAAATCAATCCATATTGATGAAGGATTAAAGGTCCTCAACCTTATAGCTACCTAATTATTCCCCTTAGCAAGCTTATTAGACATTTTCTGCATCAAGTATACTTTTCTCCCTTAACTGGATGATTTGGCATTTATCCTGGTTCAGTCTATTATGCAATTGTCTTATAACTGGTCTTTCTTCTCTTAGTTTCTTGTCCCACATCTGACTTCAATCTACTTTACACATCACTGCCAGATTTATTTTCTTTTAGCAATGTTTAGCCCTTATCACGCAATGGCCACAACCTATTAATAGCTGTCTATTATCTTGCCAGATTAGGAGAATTCAAATTTATTTTCACATAAAAATACTTTAAATAAAGCAAACCACTCCTGAGATACAAAATATACTGTATTTTTATTACATATGTGATAAAAGTTTAAACTCCTTATACTGGAGAATTGTATACTGGGTTAGCATATGAGTTTTAGAATCAAAAGAAATCGGGTTAAGTTTAGGCTCTGCTACTAATTATTAACTATGTTTTGGCCAGTTATGTAACCTCTCTGCATCTCAGAATCTTTTCTTTTTTTTTTTTTTTTTTTTTTTTTAAGAGACAGGGTCTCGCTCTGTCACCTAAGCTTAGCCTCCTGGGTAGCTAGGAATACAGGCACATTGCACCACACTTGGCTAATTTTTATTTTATTTTTTTGTAGAGACAGGGTCTCACTATGAACCCAGGCTTGTCTCGAACACTTGGCCTCAAGTGATCCTTCTGCCTCAACCTCCCAAAGTATTGAGATTACAGGCATGAGCCACCATGCCAGGCCTCAGATTCTTTACCTCAAAAATAAGATGATATCACCTTCTGCATAGAGTTGTGGCAAACACAAGAAAAATAGTAGGTATGACATATTAAGAAGGTACCTGGCACATAATAAATGCTTAATAAAGTTCAGCAGCTACCACAATTATGATACAGTATATGCAAAATGTTCTGAATGCTGTTATTATTTAAGACCTTCAGTAATCAAAACAAATTTCTAGTACATCAGATATGAACCTCAGTCTAGACTCAAAGAGTGCTGGAAATATCCTTTTCTTCATTTTTAAAATCAAATCATATGTGTTTGATTTGGAGTACCAGCCTTTCTTTTTCAGGAAGATATTAAATCACATTCATTGTTTAACTCTTCCTCAAGGTCCTACCTGAATCTAGGAAGCGTGTCATGTCCAAAAGGTGGGGAGCAAAATTGTTAACTTCCCTGCTATCAATGTCACAAGGGGCCCTTGGAGTCCAATGGCTCTCTGCTTTTGTGTGCACAGAGGAGAAAGGGAACCTCTGTCAGGCTGGGAGCTCTGGTGCTTCAGGTCAACCTCTCTAGGCAATTGCACGCAGAGAAACCCACTCTTGGGGAAATTTCTCCAAGGTCCTTGTCTTTCTCCATTTGACTCCAGACACTCTTAGATTCCAATGAATCTAGGCTTTAAAAATACATAAGAAGCACCTTATCTTCTAGACGCTTCTAGTATTGACCAAAAACCCTGAGACCAATAGACGGAAAGAGCCTAACCACCTGCTTGGGAAAGGAAAAAGAGAACAATATAGGGAAGATATTTTAACAATTTATATTTGAATAAACTGCCCTACAGATGGATCCCTAGCATTTTCAGGACTCTGGTTCCCGGTGCAGCCAAGCTTTGTCTACCAAAATCAGTCCACTCCAAACACACAGAAACCGTGGCCTTTTGGCCAATGCTCAGACATGGGTTGGGCAAAATGACAGGGCAGGAAGAAAAAGCCTGGGAAACAGGCCCATGCAGATACTGGAAGTGAGCTCAGGAACATGTGGGCAAGAAATCCCAAGGTCCTGATTCTTACTCCAGAAGGGATTGGGCAACACACATTCTCTTGATTCCCCCTGAGGAAAGGGACACACCCAGAAGAAACTGAAAAGTTCAAGGACAGGGCTCTAAAGAGGAGCCTTTTGTCATCTTCACTACTCATCCAGTTCTGTCCTGCTCTTGCTAAGAAAAACAGCCAAACGCTGCCCTTCTCTATGTAAGCCTTAAGCTTTATGCCTTTTCTCATGGAAACTCAATTCTTCGACACCTCTCCATTCATTCAATAAGTCTCAGTCCAGATGATTAATTTAATGTGGCAGCAAATATAACAATTTTTAAATGATTCAAAAAAGAAATCTGTGAACTTTCTCTATTATCCCTATAATTCTCATTTAGACAAGAGTTCTATTCTCATCAGTTAGGCATCTTCCTTATCATCGTAACTATAGCAGCATGTGTAACAGATAGGCAACACTAACTCACTGAAACTCAGTGTTCTCATCTCTAACATACAAATAAGAAGTCAGGCCAAGCAATACCAGATAGCTGCCATAAAATAATAGAAGAGAATACATTTAAAATTAAATCACTATACAAATATCAGTTATGAAAACAACACAAATCCTAAAACTGTTGTCTTTAAAACCGTCTTCTAAAACTACACTATATCTAACTATGAACTTTCAGATTTCATTTTAATGTAATTCAGTTCAGCAGATTCTTATAACAGATCTTTGGTCAAAATGTCCTGGGCCAGTTGTTTCCGAACCGTAAAGTCATTGGATACCCTGATTCAAGAGGTCATAGGGTAGGTTCCAAGAAATCACTCTATTTTGTTAATTGTTGTAGAATATACTTAACATAAAATTTGCTATCTTAACCATTTTTAAGTATACAGCTAAATGGCATTAACAATATTCATATTGTTATGCAACCATCACCACTGTCTGTCTCCAGAACTTTTTCAACATTACCAGCTGAAATTGTGTACCTGTTAAAGAATAACTAGCCCCTGTCAACCACTAGTCTACTTTCTCTCTCTATGAATTTGACTATGGCAGGTATCCCTTAGAAGTAGAATCACAATATTTGTCCGTTTGTGTCTGCTTATTTCATCCAGTATAATGTCTTCAAAGTTCATTTATGTTGTTCTTCTACTCAGATAATTTTAACGTGCAGGAAGATTGATAGCCTTACCAGTCAATTATTTTCATTTGGTATATGATAACTTAAAATAATCACTAAAACACACAAACCTATTCCAACTTATTTTCTGAAGTGTAGCCAAGTTTTTCAGCCTGCATTCTGGTTTATTAACCTTTGGATTCCCATATGTTTGTAGAAACTTCTTCAAAACTCAAGGACAACTGCTTCTGGAAATTGGCCCCTGACAACTTTCTCTCTACATCTAAGTAGGCATCCCACCTGAATAGCACTTACACTTGTATTGTAACCATCTGTTGGTATATTTGTCTCCTCTCTAATATATAAATTCATTGAAAGTCCTGCTTTTGTAGTAAATAGTAACAGGACACTTAGAATCAGGGGAAAAAAAAGGCTTTGAATCCCAGCACCTTCCCTTCCTAGCTGTGTAACTACAGGCAAGATACTTAAAGCCGAGAAGCTTCCTTAGTTGGAAAATTAAAACAATAAAACTTAGCTCATGGTGTTGTTGTTATTATTAATAAATATGAAATATTTGGCCAAGGGGCTGCTGTAGGGTAAGCACTCAATTAAAGGAACACGTCATTTAGCTTCTGTAATGCTATACTTAATATAGAGCATGCCATGTAGTGGGTACTTAAAACATTCAGATTGAAGGACTATATGCAATAAAGCCAAATGCAATGAAGCAACAGTGGTTCTGACCCAGGGTCACTAGACAGGATTACACAGTTTGCAAATGTACAAAGGCACCTGCAGGGGGCCTGAGTGAGGGCTGAAATTCAGCCCATTCACTCTCTGTATGCCACCCATTGTGCCCTGACAGCAGCTTCATCAGCCCAGAGGAGGGAGCACATCTTATATTTCAAAAAAGGTGCCAAATTTATGATTACCCTGGTCTGTGTAAAGTATCTTCTGCTTGCTATTTTTCAGGAACCACAGGAATATTTCCTTGAGGCTATTTACTTGAGACGAATTCAGAAGAGAAACATTTATTGACAGAGTTTTCTTATAAAAGGCTGTTACAGCAGCCTTCTAAAAAACTCACTGAAGGGCTAGGTTTGAAATCAGCACTCAGGTTACTCTGGTGCTCCTGTCAGAATGACCATCAGGAAGTGAGGCACTAATCACACACTTTATTAAATTGCCTCTGAAATGCTTAATAGCATCTAATGCAATGGCTTATTCAAAAGATCACACTGCACCTGATCTTTGCTCTGTAAGTTTTACAATTGCATATGCCTGCATCAAAAATAAAATCATATACATTTTTATGGAATTAAATAAATTACATCTGGTTGTTAAGAATGAAAAAGGAATGTATGACCTTTTAAATATTTAATGGCTGCACTAATGGTGATGTGCCTATAAGGTTTATCCCCAATTTTCTTCCCAGTCTTCTGAAACTTGGGAGGTGATCCCCCACTCCTTGTTCTTCAACAGTGTTTCTCCATGGGGCTCTATTGGCATTTGGGACAGCACACATCTTCAATGTGCAGGGCTGGCCTATGTACTGCAGAACGTTTATCATCTCTCATTTCTACCCATGAAATACCAATAGCATTCCTGATCCTTGTGACAAGCAAACGCCCTTTGGGAGCAATACTGTCTCACTTTATAATTTCATAATTTTTCCAGTTCAGCAAGTGAGTTTGCTATTTGTTCTGCATGAAACTTCAAAACCCCTGGTGACTGAGTCTTGCTCAACCTCTCATCTCCCAAAGGCTGGACACCTGTTGCCCAGGACACTCCTATGATGGGAAGCCATCTGTTTAAAGTGCTTCTGAAACCTTGCTGCCTACATATGGGCAGATAAATGGGTCTAGGACTCTTAATCCTTAGTTTATGACTGTCTTGAAAACCACAATATTCAAAATACTATTTCTGAAATACATTAATGGGTATTCCACATCAAGAGAAGGGCTCCATAAATAAATTTTAAAATTCTGAGTTATAAAAATTTGAAAAATCCTCTTTACTACATGACTTATTAAAGTCTTTATTTGCTAAAAGAAATTTAAAAACACTGAGAAAGCTAATTGAAGAAGGAAAAGAGTATTTTTCAAACTTACTCAACCAGGTAACTCCTTTATTCGGGAATATCTATTAACGTATTGAGGAATTCCATACTACATAGTTTGGAAACTTTGGTTTAGGCTGAGGTGACAAGATTTACAATAGCCTCTATTCTTAACATGAAATAGAAGTTAGCATGGCCTCCTTGTGAATTGCTCCATATTTTTAAGATAAAATTCAGCCATTATCTTCTCTGAGAAAACTTGCTTGATAATTTCTCTAATTTCCTTCCTTCCCTTTTTCCTGCTCACTCCAGATTCTTCACAGACGCATTTACAAAGGCAAAGTTCTTGTATTGTGATTAACTGTCTTGCTTCATCCCTAGATCACCAAACTATGGTCCACTGATCCACTACCTATTTTTGTAAATCAAATTTTATTGAAATATAGTCATGCTTGCTGGTGTATTATCTATGTCTGCTTTTAGGGTACAGTGGCAGAGGTGAGTAGTTGCGTTGCGACAAAGACCATATGACCTGCAAACCTATAATATTTACTATTTGGTCTTTTACGGGAAAGTTTTCCAACCGCAGTCCTAGGCTCCTATTACCTTAAGGTCAGGTACGGTGTCCAATTCCTTCAGCTTAATGCCTAGTAAATGATAGATACTCAAAGTTTGTTGAATGACATAATTTTTCACCTTTTAGAATAAATGCAAGAATATATGACCTTGAAGTAAATGCTTTAATAAAATGGGAGAGATGGAATATTTAACTCAGGTCATATAGTCAAAGTTCTTATTCGATGTTAAAATAGTTTTTTCCCTATGTCAATTTGGAAATATAGGTTCAAAAATATTAACTCTTAATAAATAAAAACTCATGTATTGAAGTGTGTGATCCAAAGATAGTACAGAATTCCAAGGTCACTCTGTAGAGAATATTTTATGTATTATTTATTTATTTGTAGAGACAAGGTCTCACCCTGTCACCCTGGCTTGGGTGCAATGGTATGATCATAGTTCACTGTAGCCTCAAACTCCTGAGCTCACGTGATCTTCCTGCTTCAGCCTCCCAAGTAGCTGGGACTACAAGTACATGCCACCACACCTGGCTTATTTGTTATTTTTTTTTTGTAGAGATGGGTTTCAGTATGTTGCCCAGGCTGATGTCAAACTCCTAAGTTCAAGGGGTCCTCCCTCTTCGGTCTCCCAAAATGCTGGGATTACAGGAATGAGACACCCCACCTAGCCCTAATATATATGTATGTATGTGTTTAGACAGAGTCTTGCTGTATTGCCCAGGCTGGAGTGCAGTGGCACAACCTTGGCTCACTGCAACCTACACCTCCCAGGTTCAAGTGATTCTCTTGCCTCAGCCTCTTGAGGAGCTGGGATTACTGGTGTGCACCATCACACTCAACTAATTTTTGTATTTTTAGTAGAGAAGGGGTTTCCCCATGTTGGCCAGGCTGGTTTCAAACTCCTGGCCTCATGTGATCCACCCGCCTTGACCTCCCAAAGTGACAGGATTACAGGCGTGAGCCACTGCGCCTGGCCATAATTCTTAATATGAATATTTCTTCTCTAATATCATTTTTAATCTTTCAAATGTGAAACTTCTAATTGTTTACCTTCTACAAAAAATGATTTAATACAATTCACACAATTATTTATATCTCTTTAACTATCATATGTACTAATTTTCAGGCAATTTTAATAACATAGCTTAGATCTAAACTGATGCATACTTCCTCAATTTAGTACATGGCTAACTGAATGAATATCTTGTAAGAGATTTTTGCAGTCAAGTGACAGACCATATAACCATACAATTTATCCTAAGATACCTGTAAGTTTTGATGGATTAGTGTAGGAGTTTTCAGATTCACAGTTTGATTTCTGGAGTCAAATGTCATAATCCAAAGGAATTATTTAGGTAGAAATAGGAGGAATTAGGACAGATTAATGTGAAGGTAAGAATGTGTGTTAACCTTATACAAAAATTAATTCAAGATGGATTAAAGACTTAAACGTTAGACCTAAAACCATAAAAACCCTAGAAGAAAACCTAGGCATTACCATTCAGGACATAGGCATGGGCAAGGACTTCATGTCTAATACACCAAAAGCAATGACAACAAAAGCCAAAATTGACAAATGGGATCTAATTAAACTAAAGAGCTTCTGCACAGCAAAAGAAACTACCATCAGAGTGAACAGGCAACCTAAAGAATGGGAGAAAATTTTTGCAATCTACTCATCTGACAAAGGGCTAATATCCAGAATCTACAAAGAACTCAAACAAACTTACAAGAAAAAAACAAATAACCCCATCAAAAAGTGGGCCAAGAATATGAACAGACACTTCTGAAAAGAAGACATTTATGCAGCCAACAGACACATGAAAAAATGCTCATCATCATTGGCCATCAGAGAAATGCAAATCAAAACCACAATGAGATACCATCTCATACCAGTTAGAATGGCGATCATTAAAAAGTCAGGAAACAACAGGTGCTGGAGAGGATGTGGAGAAATAGGAATACTTTTACACTGTTGGTGGGACTGTAAACTAGTTCAACCATTGTGGAAGAGAGTGTGGCGATTCCTCAAGGATCTAGAACTAGAAATAACATTTGACCCAGCCATCCAATTACTAGGTATATAACCAAAGGATTATAAATCATGCTGCTATAAAGACACATGCACATGTATGTCTATTGTGGCACTATACAATAGCAAAGACTTGGAACCAACTCAAATGTCCATCAATGATAGACTGGATTAAGAAAATGTGGCACATATACACCATGGAATACTACGCAGCCATAAAAAAGTATAAGTTCATGTCCTTTGTAGGGACATGGATGAAGCCGGAAATCATCATTCTCAGCAAACTATCTCAAGGACAAAAAACCAAACACTGCGTGTTCTCACTCATAGGTGGGAATTGAACAATGAGAACATTTGGACACAGGAAGGGGAACATCACACACCGGGGCCTGTTGTGGGGTGGGGGGAGGGGGGAGGGATAGAATTAGGAGATATACCTAATGTAAATGACGAGTTAATGGGTGCAGCACAGCAACATGGTGCATGTATACATATGTAACAAACCTGCACATTGTGCACATGTACCCTAGAACTTAAAGTATTAAAAAAAAAAAAAAGAATGTGTGTTAAGTGGAGGGCTCTGCAAATCTCTCTCTGTCAGGATGGGAAGTAATAAGCAGCATTAGCATATAAAGAAAGTAAATTTTATTTATTTAAGTCCCAGTCACGTTACTTTGTAACTATGTGACATTAAATAAGTTAATTTACCTCTCTGAGTCTATTTTCTTGTCAGTGACATAGAGATAATCATATAATTGTATATGAACTAGTTCATTTTATTGTTCAATAATTCTTTAGATTATTTCTTTAGAGTCTCTTATTATCTACCTTATGCAAATGAAGAGACAGAAACTTTAAGACCTCTCATGAGTAACTTCACTGTTCTGTATCTAAGTGGCAAAACCTGGACACAAACCCACAGCTAGAGCTGCAGTGGGAATTCTCAATCAACCAGTGCCTGGAGTTCATTTGCCAAAATCTTAGATTGCTTAATTAGCAACATCAGACCCTGCATTGTTTGTCTCCTTTGCTCTAGGGAGAGGCCACCATGGAGAAAGCTAGTGGCCCTTTCAAAAAGTGAAGCTGTGTCTATGATCAGCCTATAAAAGTCCCATTGGTTTGAGACATAAAGCCAAGAAGATGACAAAAGGGTTATGAAAGCACAGACAGAAGTTGAAGTAATGCTTTTAGTTGATGTGTCACAGTACAGTATGATGGGAAAGAAGTCCTTGTACTTTTTCAAAGTAGAATTTGTATTTTACTTAGACTAAAATAACCTTGTTCTTAAGAGATGCCAATATGCTCTTTGATTTTTCATAACCCAACTAAGCAGTGCTTTGGCAAAAAGCATGTCATTATTGGCCAACATTCCCCTGACTTCAGTTTTCAATTTTTATTTTTTTAGCTTTATTGAGATATAATCGATGCACAAAAAATGCACACATTCAACGTATATCTTTTAATGAGTTGGGCCATAAGCCTATACCCATAATACCATCACCACAACCAAGGTACTAAGTATATAGTCACCTCCAATAATTTATTTGTGTTCTTTTGTGTGTTTTTTGTTTGCTTTGCAGTAAGAAAATTTAACATGAGATATATCCTCTTATATTTTAATAAACACAATACTGTATTATTAACTGTAGGTACTATGTTGTACAGAAAACCTCTAGAATTTATTTAACGTGCATAACAGAAATTTTATACCATTGAAAAACAATTCCCTATTTCCTTCTCCCCACAACCTCTGGCTACCACCTATCTCATAAGAGATTAATGTCCAATATAAAGGAGAGTCTCCTACAACTCAATAGCAAAACAAAAACAAAGAAACAAACTAATTAAAAATTGGGCAAAAGACTTGAATACATATATAAATATTTCTCCAAAGAAGACATACAAAATGCCGGTAGGTATACGAAAAAGTGCCAACATAACTTATTGGAAAAATTAAATCCAAACCACAACAAAATTTCACTTCTTACCTGCTAAAATGTCTGTTATCAAAAAAGAAACAAGTAAACAGAAACAAAAGGTAAGTGTTGGCGAGCTTGTGGAGGAATTAGAACTCTTATACACTGTTGATGGGAATATAGGGTGGTGTAGCCACTGTGGGAAACAGTATTGAGTTTCCTCAAAAAATTTAAAATAGAACTACTGTATGATACAGCAGTCCCACTTCTGGAAATATATTCAAAAGAATCAAAGTTCAGATCTTGAAAAGATATCTGCACCTTCCTGTTCACTGCAGCCTTATTGACTACAGCCAAGATATGGAAACAATCTAAATGTCACTTATAGATGAAATAATTTAAAAAAAGAAAAACGTGGGCCAGGTGCTGTGGCTCACACCTGTAATTTCAGCACTTTGGGAGGCTGAGACAGGGAGATCACTTGAGGCCAGGCGTTCGAGGCCAGCCTGGTCAATATGGCGAAACCCTGTCTCTACGAAAAACACAAAAATTAACTGGGCATGGTGTGCATGCCTGTAGCGCCAGCTACTCAGGAGGATGAGGCATGAGAATCACGTGAGCCCAGGAGGCAGAGGTTGCAGTGAGTGGAGATGCACCACTGCACTCCGACCTGGGTGACTGAGTGAGACTCTGTCTCAAAAAATACCAATCATAATAATTGGCATACATTTGGCTCTGTGTATCTGCAAGTCTCTCATCTGCAGATTCAACAAAATACAGATGGAAAATACAGTACTGAGAGATGTGAGCTTGCAGATAAGGATGGCTAACTTTTTGTATAGGTGAGCACTGCAGGACCAACTGAGTGACTTGAGTGGATGTGGATTTTGGTTCAGTGGAGGGTCCTAGAACCAATTACCCTTGGATACCCAAGGACAAATGTCTTCATACAATAGAACATTATTTCAGCCCTAAAAAAGAAATAAATGCTGCCATTTGTTACAGCATGGTTAAACCTATGAGACATTATCATCTGCAAAACGAGCCAGATGCAGAAGGATAAATACTTCATGATTCCACTTATATGAGTCATCTAGTCACCCAAATAGAAGCAGACAAATATCCTCCAAGTTGCCCGTGATTTAAACTTTAGCTTGTATCTTCAATGACTGAAATGTTTATCCAACATTAGCAGGTCGAAAAGAAACTCCAAGCTATATTACATGAAAAGTACTGGGAATTTGCTGGCCCTAAATATCTGGGTTGTTCTAATTCTAGGGAAAATAAAATGTGCATGCATAAATTCTAATAGTCCTTTTGCCATATCTTTAAATGGCTTACATTAAGTGCCAATGATGATGTTTAAAAAAAAACCCAAAACTACAGCTTGTAATAGAAATTCTAGAAAATATATAATACATATAAATATGATATTGAAAATAAATTTTTGGTTCTGGTTCCTTTTGTAAGAAATTGTGGCTGTAAAATACATATTAAGTATCCTTACTCGGGAGCCAGGCATGGTGGCCATGCCTTTAATCCCAGCTATTCTGGAAGCTGAAGCTGGAGGATCATTTGAACCCAGGAGTTCAAGGTTGCAGTGAGCTATGATTGTGTCATTGCAGTCCAGCCTGGGTGACAGAGTAAGACTCCATTTCTAAAAACATATTTTTTAAAAGAAAAGAAAAGAAACCTTACTTAGGTAACTATACTTGTGATGACACAGCTTTTATGGCACCATGCGGTTTTGAGAACTCAGAAGAAAAAAGATGTATTTCATACCTTCCAGCTTAGAAAGATTATGGGAATGCATAAGTAATAGATAATTTATAATATAATAACGTCTCATGAAAGAGGTAATCATGTGCTTTGGGAGTAGCGGGGGAAAGGCCCAAGCAGATTCAAATTGGAAGGAGAAGTCAGGAAAGGAATAGGAAACATCTAAGGCAAGGAAGAAAAAAGAGCAGATAATAGCTGGGGCATAAAGTAATAGGATATCAGCATTCCAGAACTGGGAACAGAGTATAATAAAGACACGGAGGTGTGAAACAGCGTATTAAAGGTGGGAACTGCAAGTGATCTGATATGGCTGGAATATAGGATTTGATATGGGAGAAGTAAAAGAAGACTAGAGAAGGTGAGGAGGTGTCTAACGGTAAAGAGCCATGAGAGTAATTGGATTGGA
Source organism: Homo sapiens (assembly GCF_000001405.40). NCBI lineage: Eukaryota > Metazoa > Chordata > Mammalia > Primates > Hominidae > Homo > Homo sapiens. Next base: position 51,885,516 of record NC_000010.11, on the reverse strand, counting down.
GCTAGAACAGAGAATGGGAAGTACATTCTGTCAGTCTATGTAACAGGCTTGCAAAATGTTCCCAGATAATTTATTAAAAAGCAAGTCAATTGCATTTTGCAGAAACCTTTGGCCAATTACATGAGAAAATACATTATAAGGTAATTTTATCTTATATTGCTAAAACAGAATCTGCCATTAAATAGATCAGTGGGCAAGTCACAATCCCCTTGGCTCCACTTTTCTCATTAGCAAGCAATAACAACAATAACAACTAACTTGTGAGTGGTTATGTGCCTGGTACTGCTCTATCTCTGTACATGCATTAACACATTCTAAGTGTTTTACCTAGGTTAACATCACAACTGTGAAAATTAAATGACTTAATTACATGTAAAGCAACAATTATTATCTCCATTTTAAAGATGAGAAGAGTAAGTTATAAAAATGAAAAGAAACTTGGCTAAGATTGCACGGTATGTCAGTAATGAAGCTGAAAGAAAGTGAAGGATTCTTTCAAGGGTCTATTCCTTATAGCACTGAGAATAGTGTCAGGAATACAGTAGACTCTCAAAACCTCAATGGATGAGTAAACTGATATCTCCATGGTGAGTTAAAGATGCTTCCAAACACTTTGCCACTTCTCCTACGAAGAGGTGGAGGCTAACTCCCCTCCCTTTGAATGTGACCTAGGCTGGTGACTTGCTTAGACCCAAAAAATAAGGTCAAAATAAGGTATAAGACATAAAAAGGCCTGTAGCTTACATTTTTCATCCTTAAAAGCCAACCACCAAGCTGAAAAGAATCTCATCCTAAACTACTGTATGATGACAGGCAATGTGGAGACAGACCCTGAATGATGTGAGTCCACCTTGGACATTTCAGTGTACGCATGGCCTCAGCTACAATGTATGGAGTAGAACATTGGCACACTGAGTCCAGTCAACCTAGGGAATCATGAGAAACAATAAATCATGTTTTAAGCCATTACATTTTGGGGTAATTTAGGACACAAAACAACCTCTGTGGCAGTATATTTACTTGTCTGCTCTAAAGCTAAACTTTTCTTTTTTTTTTTTTTTTTTTTTTTTTTGAGACGGAGTTTCACTCTGTCGCCCAGGCTGGAGTGCAGTGGCGCGATCTCGACTCACTGCAAGCTCCGCCTCCCGGGTTCACGCCATTCTCCTGCCTCAGCCTCCCGTGTAGCTGGGACTACAGGCGCGCGCCACCACGCCTGGCTAATTTTTGTATTTTTAGTAGAGACGGGGTTTCACCGTGTTAGCCAGGATGGTCTCGATCTCCTGACCTCGTGATCTGCCCGTCTCGGCCTCCCAAAGTGCTGGGATTACAGGCGTGAGCCACCGCGCCCGGCCAACTTTTCTTATAATTAATCTGTGACTCATTCAAACAAAAGTATCACTTCCATCAGCCTGCTTTCTGTATCTCATTCTTATTATTTACTTGAGTGGTATTTGGAAGTGGCAAAAGCTTCTTTTTTTTTTTTTTTTTTTTGAAAAATAAAAGACTAACTTGAGTTTCAGGAAATTCATTTTCATAGAAAACCACTTTCTGTTTTAAAATGGATTTTCATCTGAAAAGTTTCCTAATAATTGAAGAACACAATTTTTTGTCTCTTATTTCTACTGACAGTCTTAAAGCATTCTACCTCCTGGAAGGACACATGGGATAATAATAGGAAGACGATAAAGGTGGAGGCAGCCACACACAAAAACTTACATAAACACAACAGATTATTTTTAAAGTACATTTATTATCTCAACCAATTCCATTTTGACACACAGCCCTGCCAGCAGAAACATGCTGCCAATTTTCTTTCAGAGAAAACACTTGCATCCTTTAAAACTCCAAAACAACTCAGAGATCAGTAAATATGTTAATCCATTAAACAGTTGTTTGGTTAACAACTATTGGTTGCTTAATAGCATAGACACAGCCCCAGCAATTTATTTCTTACCATAAGCAAAAATGTCTTTCTTAACCTATGGGTAAATCATGATTACCTCAATACTGCAATGAAGTCACATGAGATTGAAATACAAAACTTGCTTAATTTACAGAAAATATTATTGTTATGTATTAGCTAGGGTTCTCAAGATAAACAGAACTAATAGGATCTATATCTATATCATCTATCTATATTTGTCTATACAGACTGAGAGACAAAGACAGAGAGAGAGATTTATTATACTATGCAGCTCATACAATTATGGAGACTGAGAGCCCCACAATCTGCCATCTGCAAGTTGCAGAAGCCAGAAAGATGGTGGTGTAATTCAGCTAGAGTCCAAGTACTTGAGATCCAGGGGAGCTAATGGTATAAGTTGTAGTTCAAATCCTCAAGCAAGAGAACCAGGAGTGCTGATGTTTGAAGACAGAAGATGAATGTCCCTCAGGAAGAGACAGTTTGCCCTTTTTCCACCTTTTTGTTCTATTCAGGTCCTCAACAGGTTGGATGATGTCTGCCCACATTGGTGAAGATGGACTTCTTTACTTACTACCAGTTCAAATGCTAATCTCTTCTGGAAACACCCTCACAGATGCACCCAGACATAATGTATTACCAGTTTTCTGGGCATCCCTTAGCCCAATCAAGTTGACACATGAAAGTAAACATCACATAACATGATAGTACACTGAGAACAACGGCTCAAGCTTAAATTAAATTGTAGATCCCAGTACTCATACATATCTGACCATGTCTGGCAGACTGGTAGTGTAGCTACCAGAAGTCTATTGGCATGAAGGATTGATGACTCTTCTGAGAGAAAATTCATCTTAAGTAGAGATGGAATCAGAAAAGTTCAAATCAATATCCAAGCCTCAGTCAACAGGGGAAAAGAAAAAGCTCTGAAGACTGCCTGGTAACTGCCATTCAGATTCATCCTAGGGATAGAGGGGCGAAGAATACAAATTCCCTCCTCTATGTGACTTGCATATTTCCATTTTAAGTCTTACAAACTATCAGGATGTTTGTAAGGAGGCAGTAACTCTAATAGAGTTAAACACAAAGGATAAAGAAGCAATCTTCCCATTTCAGCACCTAACATACAATGAGGCTTTAGAAGCAGTAGATGATCTGGAAGGAAATCTCACTAAAAAATTCTAGCGTAGGAGAGAAGGAAAGTTGTGAACACCAGGTGGTAGCAAGAAGATTTATTTATGAAGTCACATGAGACATGTCTGAGATTTCTAGAAATAAATGAGCAACTGGCAAGGGTACCTGGTTGGAGAAAGAGCCCCTAATGTCACTGATAATGTTTCTCCATTTGTCTGGGGGGACTTTGGGAATCTCAGCTTCTAACAATAATAGCAGATGGGTTTAGGGAGTTAGGGCTAATGAGCTCCTTTTGTTCCTAAGTTATTAATTAATTCATTTTCTGAACTGTATCAAGGAGTGGATTAACAATGAGATTTTCCAAAGGTGGACTTTTTTTATGCTTTAAACTTACATATGATAGCTTTGCCTATTACAGTCCTCACACATTTTAGTCATCCTCATGGATTTCATCATTGAAAAGATGAAAGAACTATGACTGAGAATCAGCAAAATGGTCATGCAGCAGCATGGTGGTCAAAAACAGACTGCTTTGAGTTAGGGCTCAGTTGGTGCCTGGTCTTGCCACTTAAGAGTTCTGTGATGCATCTAACTTAAGAAGAGTATCATGATGTTGCTTATTTCATTATATTGTTGTGAAGACTACAATAAATAAGGCATTTCAAATATGCTATATTTATAACAAATAATAAAAATCTCAAGTCCAAAATGTTTAAAATTATCTATATGGTATACTGCCTCAAAACAAATCTTTTCCTTCCGCTGTCTAAAGGCTTAGCACAACTCCTAAAAATAGATGGTGTCTATTTCCCCCTTAAACCTGGGCTGGCCTTGTGGTTTGCCTTAACTAATAAATAGAATGGCTATGCCAGTTCTAAGGCTAGGTGATAAGAGGCCTGGTACCATCAGCTCCAATCATTTTTGAATCCATTCAAATTTCAAGAAGCTCAGCTAGACTACTGAATTATGAAAGATCATGTGGAAGAAGCCAGTTTCCTGCTATTTCAGCCACCCAGATGAAACCACAGACATAAGTAGAACCCCAGCTGAGCTCACAGCTGAATGCAGCTTAGTGACCCAGCTGACATGTGGAGCACAAGAACCACTCAGCTGAGCACAGCCAATGCACAATTATTTAATATATAATCATGAGAAATAACAAATTGTTGTTTTAACAGTCTAAGGTTTGGGTTAGCTTGTTATACCTCAGTAGATAAGTGAAACACTATTTGAGGCCATGTATGATCTTCCCGTTGATGTCTCTAATCTTAACTTTCAGCCCTCTCCCCTTCATGCGCACTACTCTAGTCACTCTGATCTTTTCAATTCTCAAATATAACCTGGGGCACAGGATCTTCACATATGCTGCCCTCTTTACCTGAACTATGCTTCCAGAGGCCCCTCCCCCACCCATCCCACATACTATCTGCCCCCCTTTTCTCTAAGTAACTCCTACTTGTCATTTACTCTTATACAAGCCTTTTATTTTTTCTTTAGAGCACTTTCTATAATTATAATTACTTGGGTAGTTATTTGTTTAATGTCTGCCTTCCTTCTAACCTAAAAATTTACTGAAGGCACCCAGCACAATTTCTGGCATCTAAAGATACTCAATACTTAATTCTTGAATTGATGAACCGATAGGTTGATTGCAATAGAGCCAAAAGCAAAACTGTGTCTCTTGCCTCATACATTAGTGTTCTTGTCCTTGGAATTTACCATCCTCCTCTCCATTTGTGGGAAATCAGTGTGAGGTTTTACTGGGGAATATCTTTTGCATTTTAAATCCAGGATATGAGTGGATACAATTTTTTAGAGGAGGACGTTTTTAAAAGATTAACACAGCCAAAACCAATACAGGACTTTTATATTAGTTACCAGCTTCTCCTTCTCTAAGATTCTCAGATTATTCCATAATTCTTATTTACAAAGCTTTATTCCCCACAGGAAACCAGAAAGATAGTAACTCTTAAATGGAAAAATGGGGACCTGGCAATTCCAGTGGAGCAGACCATTATTCAATGAAGTGTACTCAGGAGGTAAGACAGAGCAGAGCCAGTAGACTTAGTCCCAGACACAAGGGCTGATTTCCACCCCAGACCTTGCTGACAAAATGTCATCAAGCTTCATAATAATTGAGCTCTAACTCAATTACATAATGTAAGTTTCAACTAACTCACATTATTTAATCTTTTTTTTTTTTAGCTCAGTTCTACATATGGACAATGGGCTAATTACTTTCTATTTAATTCCTAAGATAATTATAATGACTAAAATACTTTGTAAAATGTAAACCATAATTTAAACATATAGTATCACACAAAATATTTTTTAATCAAATACAATAAAATTTTCTTGTGCAAACGAGGTATCTCTTTCTGATGTAAAAGGTGGAGGCTGAGAAAATACGTCCAGAAGCAAATATCCAATGGATGTGCAGGCTGGTACTGTGCAATGCAGAAATCTCACTTACATTCTGCTCCATGTAAAGGATGCTTGCTAGAATTGCACAGGCCACAGCCTGAGGTTCTTTACATAGTGGCTACAATTTCCTTGCTTGCCATAGTGGCCCGCTGTGGGATTCAGGTAGTATATTTGTGAAATTCCTTCCACTGAGTAACATCAATCGGATTTCAGAACCCAGATGCCCACAGGTGGCATTCAATTCCACTGTTATCTAGGAAAAACTGCAGTTGACTTCCCTAACTTCAGAGACCTACACTCAAGCCAGCAGGAGGAAAGATAAGCTCTGGATGGTGGCATCAGAAGACCTATATACTAAATCTACACATAGGATTTTTGTTTCCTACCAAGGGAGGCAGGTTTAAAGTCATGGACACATAGCTCTAACAGCTCAGTTGGGTTGCTCACACTGAGAGAGATGTAGACTTACAGAACTTGAGTAAAAAAGAAAACCTCAGAGAAAGTGACTCATGGTAGTTTCCTTGTCTGCAGACAATTCCCTCTTCTGTGCCTCAGGCTCTTACAGCACTTTATACTTCTGTCTACAACTTCTCACAGATGGACATGAATCATAGTTCTGTATGTGTTTGGTTCCCAAGGGATAGTAAGAGACTTGAGGCCAGCAACTTTTCTCGTTCATCCCAGGGTGACTCAAATGAAATGGGCCTCCTTGAGTCAGCCCTGAACTCACCCCAGTTCATCTTAAGACTAACAGCACAGTTACATAGCAAAGTGAAAGCAAAACAAAACTAATCAAAGGATAAAATGTTTACAAATATATTATAGTCCAGGTTTCTGCTATTTTTTAAAAGCCCAGATCATGTCACAGAAGTCCACTTAAGGATGATTACAGCCAAAAACAAATTGATATTTACAAGCAAATACATGTTGATGCTGGTTTCTTTCTATCTCCTGCCTATTCTGTTTTGATGTCAGCTTGAAATATTTAGAGGTTGACAAGGACAGAAACCAAAGGCCCTGGACTTATTGGACAGTTATAGATAGGTCAGTAATGCTGCCTCTGTGTGGGAAAGCTGGCAATAATGGGATTAGACATGCCAGTTCCATTTGCAGAGGTCTGGTTCTTAAATAAGTGACTCAAATGCTTTGTTTTGTCACTGCATTAAAGTCAATATGTGTGTGTCTGTTCTCTCTGTATGTTGATTTCTCTTTGACAGAAACTCATTATGAGAGACAGCTACTTAGGTGGAAGCTCATTTGGAATTCACCAAATAGCCAGCTCTAGTCAGTATGGGAAGAAAGGAAAATGGCTTGTGACAGGAATAAATCCTTCAATAGAAACTGTTGGTATTCTCCTTCTGGTGAGACTCTGGGGAGTAACAAAATTAGATGGTGAGTAGTTTCAGAAAAGGAGGACCTCAAGCAATTAGGCATCTCTTAGAAAGATGATTACATAGACCTATGGTATAAGGATAGGGTCCTTTCTTATAAAACTTTTTTTCTTAGTGATCCACCAAGGAAAATCATTTAGAATGGTTGTATGAGTAGTTTTATCTGGTATAGGGACAGCTAATTTGCTCTGAATATTTTTACATCCACTTTCTAGACTGATGTTATCCATTTGGTATAGATTTGCCACTTACATATTGAGAGGAGGTTTCTTACTGACACATCAAAGCAAACTTCCCCCTGTTCAACATAGTATATTGAGCCAATCAAAATAGTTGTGAAATAATAAAGTGTTCATACTTTAATGGTGAGCAGTGCTGGATACACACACACACACATATATTCACACATATATACATACATGCACACACACACATATATATTGCTTTATATTTATATATACATGTTTAAATTATATATGTTATTTATTACACTGTTAAACATTATTTATGCATTTCTGGTTAATGATGTCTAATATATACTTGGTAGCATGTTAAAAATATTTTTTAAAAATTGAATTATGTTAACTTAGTCATATGCTATCCTGAGAAGTAAAAAATACATATTTCTAGGACAATTTATCCATACACATGGGCAATAAGTTTATTTCCAGTGTTAACTGATTCCTCAACTATTGTAGTAGTGGTATCTTTCTGAAATTTCATCTTACTTTCTGAGTGTGCTAAGTTGGCCTAATTGTGAGACACATTCATTTAAAAAAGTAATTCTAATCTGGATGCTGCCACCATGAGGTGGGAAGTTGGGAAAAAAGAGAATATACTTCAAATTATCTTTATGGGAAAGTTAGTTGAGTATAACCTGAGGAAACAGCATGTCTTAAAGAATAGGGCAAAAATCTTTCAGAAGAAAAATCCTCTTGGTGTAATCTTTTTGAAATTGGTTCAATCTTCTTTACATTTCTGTTGCAAATGCTATTATGGAAAGATGTTCGGTGGTTATAGGCCAGTGATTACAGAGATTGAGTGCTGGGGTAATAAAGAAGTGAATTTTGAGGTTTTTAAAAATGCATATTTTACTTGGAAGCATGAGCTTTTGAAAACTAAACTGCTTTAAAATATAAAATATGTAATCAAATACAAATTCTTGTCAGAAAAATGCTGCTCAACAAATTGTACCTGTTTGCACTGATAAGCAAGGCAATAAGAGTTCTTTAGATACCATCATGCACTTACTTGATGGGAAAGTATAGAAATCCTACCAAAAAAAATCTGAAAATAAAGCTTATCGGGTTGTTTAAAGTTGTTTAGGTGAGAATCTAGCTTGGATCATAAAACAGTTAATCAGATGATGTTAGTATTCATGGCAGGCTGAACCTCCTGAAAAGAAAGATAATCTGGAAAGCTGGGTACAGGTGGTAGTGCACCACCTGTAGTCACAGATACACAGGAGGATTGCTTGAGCTCAGGAATTCAACACCAGTTTGCGCAACATGGGAGGGTGCATGGGGGGAGAAAGACAATCCTAAGAAAGGACCTAAATTCACACACAAAAAGGGACACTCTGCCAGAGTGTTTTGTTTTATGTGGGGTTCTCCCAGAAGCAGATCTGAGCCAAGGATTTGAGTGTGAACAGTTTATCTGTGAGCTGATCTCAATAACCATTGGTAGGGAAGGAAAGGTAGTCAATGGAGTTTTCATTACTAGGCAAATTTCCATTGTGGGGAACTGGAGCTTGATTCTGCTGGGTAATATTAGGAACCCAGGTAAAACCCAGGCCCTAGAGTTATCCCACCCCGGTGCAAGGGAACTGGGTATATCATACACAAGTTCTCGCTGGTCTCTGGGTGAGTGGTGCTCCCAGATTCATTAATTTCTTGGCACTTCCAGCTTGCCACATGGAGGCACAAACCATGCTCTGGTGGCAAGAGGCCCTCAAGCAAACACTTGCAGGTGCTGGCAGCTGGGAGTCTCAAATGGTAAGAAAAAGAAATATTGCTGGAACACTGACAACGTTTGCTGAACAACGTAACTGGCTGGCTATTCTGAATGAAATGAAAGTAAGCATGATTTGCCTAAGGCCTTATATAGATATTAAAAAGCAAGCAAACAAACAAAAACAAATATAAACCCCACAAATACCAAAAGACCTACCCTAGGAAAATTGAGATATGTGTGTAAGATACTACACTACACATTTCCATCCTACAGACTATGACAGCAAGGGTTTTTCTTTTATAAACAGGTAGATTAAGCAGCTACCTCTGTAGTCTGATTTGAGAAACAGAAAGGTCCATAAACCAAAATATTTCCTCTACTTCCCCCTTTCCACTATTTAAAATGCTTCCCTTTGAGATTTGTCACTTTGTGTGAGCTATATTACACTCTGTGTGTGTGTGTGTGTGTGTAACACAAATATACATATCTATGCACATAAATGTGTTCATGGATGTGGGGAGGGCAAATGTATTAACAACTTGTGGCAAGTTTATTTATTAATTAGCTCTCTTTAGGAAAAGAGACAGAGAAAGTGCTGTTTTTAAAGGGAAAAGGTAGTTCCTTTCCCCTTCCTTAAAGGGAAAACAGAAAAGTTTACAAATCCCATGTTCTAAGCCCAAACCAAAGGTAAAGGGTGCTGTGTCATTGACGGCATGTGCTCTGAAAAAGAAAAAAAAAAAAGAAAGAAAGAAAAGAAAGGAATAAAGGAGGAGGAGAAAAAGAAAGACAGAATAACTCTCTAGATAACACTTACCTATTCCAAAAATTTGTACTGGATACGTATGCTTGGCCACAACGACTTGAAGAACTCCAGGTGGCACCATTCTTACAAAATACAAAACGATGTTTCCCCCCAGAGTTGTGAAACATGATATCCTTGCACATATGGTTGGGTTATTTTCCCTTTTTGCTTTAAGTATTACTTCAGAATTAACTAAATTTGATCACATTATTTTTTAAATAAACATATTTAAATGTCCATGGAAAGTCGAAAGATACTTTGTCAATCAAAACATTTTTTAAAAATTTCATTAGGTGAGCTTTCTATTTAAAGAGAATCTGAGCCAGGGATGGTGTCAAGTGTCTGTATCTCAGCTACTTGGGAGGCTGAAGCTGGAGAATCTCCTGAGCTCAGGAGTTCAAGACCAGCCCAGGCAGCATAGCGAGACCCTGTCTCTAAAATCAGCCAACCAACCAACCAATCAATCAATTAATTAATATGAAGGGAATCTGGGGTGGTTTTTTTTTTAAAACAATTATTTGAAAATACAAATTTATCTGTTTGGTCTATTAAGATTCTCATGTGCAGTATTTTTTTTTTTTCATTAAAGCTTAAAGCATTTCTCACATTCACCAGTTACCAGCTGTATGGTCTAATAAAGCGCATTTGTCCACTATGAAGCAGTTTCTCTATCTCACAAATGCATTCAACACTTACCTAATTCAGGTGTGTTTGGTATTTCTAGTATTCCTAAAGCTACATTTGAAAGATAGAGTTGAATTTAATGGAAAAAGGTACTACTACTTTATGTTGTTTTCTTCTAATCAAGCAGGCTTCCACAGAGTGGAAGTGTTAAGTAAGAGGAAAAGGATGATTATTATGATAATTACCACTTTTGAAATATCTCATTTGTAAGGTCTAGTGGCTTATGAGAGCAGAGATTCTGGCCCTGCCCTCTCCCCAGAATCCAGGAAGTGTCTGGAACACAGTAGGGGCTCAAATTAATTATTTAATTACCTAACTAATTTCACACAATCTTCCCAATAGGAATGTGAAGTAAATATTATTAACCTCATTTTACAGTGGGAAAATTAAAGCTCAGAGAAATTACATAATTATTCCCAAACAGCTGGTAAGTGATAGAAGTCTGTATTTACATTTTCTAGGGAGAAAAACAAACAAACATAAACAACTCTATTTCACTACATATTCTACCATTTAAGGTACATATATTTTACCACAACTTGCTATAGCTTGTGATTATCTTAACTCAGATGTCTTCTTCTTTTTCTTTTAGGAAATGGGCTAAGGTACCAGCAAAGCTTTATTTAGATGCTCTTAAGCTTTGGCATATTCGTGCTTTAAAAAAAGCACGAACATTTCAAATTCAAGTGAACGTACAGTATGCATCAACAACATATTGGATTTGCAGATAATGAATTTACAAAAAAATGGTGAAAATATTAAAATCACTTCACAGTTGCATGATATTTTGATGTTATCTGTACTACTACTTCTCGGCTTTCATGCTCTCTTGTATAAATTATCTAACTTTTACGTTTTCTGCAAAGGCATCTTCAAAAAAATTTGAACATCCATGTATTTTTAATGAAACAGAGCAGTCTGCTGAAGATGCACAAGGCAACAGTTTTATGTTATTTCATAAGCACACAGATTGATGGCAAAAGGAGAACAAATCATATTCAGAAAAATTCCCTCAGAGAAGCTCAGCAAGATTGGGAATGGTCTCAGCAGCACTAAACTACACTCTATGCCCAGTAATCAAGATTTAGTGAATATGCCTGCCTGCCATTTGAGGTTGCTGTTAAATTTGGCTCAAATAATTTTCCATACACTGGCTATGGGCCTTAATTTTCCATCAAGTAGCTAAAACAGATAAATTAAGGTACAATGAAAGTAGACTTTTACTTCAAAATGGTGGTAAATTTAGTACAATAAAGTATAAACAAGATAGAGGACTTGTTTTAAAAAAAATGCAAATAAATGAGAGTATGAAGATCATAAATTGGTCAATACTTACGGAAAACATTTCTAATGTTTTGGCTATAAAAATTCTGTTTCTTGGCCGGGCATGGTGGCTCACGCCTGTAATCCCAGCACTTTGGGAGGCCGAGGCGAGTGGATCACTTGAGGCCAGGAGTTCAAGACCAGCCTGGCCAACATGGCGAAACCCGTTCTCTACTAAAAGTACAGAAATTAGCTGGGGCACGGTGGCACGTACCTGTAATCCCAACTACTTGGGAGGCTGAGGTGAGAGAATTGCTTAAACCCGGGAGGCAGAGGTTGCAGTGAGCTGAGATCATGACACTGCACTCTAGCCTGGGCGACAGAGCAAGACTCCGTCTCAAAAAAAAAAAAAAAAAGATTATTTATTTTATTAATTTAGAAATTATTCAAGCTAAGAATGTAGAGACATAGATGATTAGATAGACAGGTGGATAAATAAAAAATTAACTTCAATTAACCTGAAAAATTACCAGTTACAACTCTCACATAACTAAATTTTGACTGTACTACAGTTTTTAGGGTAGAGGCTGAGTCCAAGTTTAATATCAACAAGAAAAGCAGTCCCTGAAATATATCCTTTGGTAAATAAAGATTAAAATTAATCCCATGAATCCCATAATTATAGTTTTCTTAAACTATATGGCATTATATAATGAAAACAAAAATTATTATTTTGAAATCCTGTAACATCACAAATCATCAAGTTAAGTTTGAATGATATTTATCATGTTTAATAAGACAGAAAGAAGGACTGGATCTCTTCAAGTCAAAATCCTTAATACTGAAGAATTAAAATAATTAGGTATTTGATATTATTACATGTGAATTCCAGTTAGCCAGTGTTTTACTGCATCTTCCTAAAACAAATGGTGCAGATATAACTATATAGGCTTGAGAAGTAGAGGTCATACAAACATTACGGTAAAGAAAATTTTATATAAAATTTTATTTTTCAATTTATTTTAATTTCCTAAAATCAATGAATAATCATAGAACTAGGCTCTGAACCTAAGAAAATAGGTACCCTATGAAATTGCTAATATTCAGCCATCCCAAACTCAATAATTTCATATGGTTTACCTAGTACAAAAAGGACACTTATTAATTTTATATACATACATTGAGTATCTGCTGTGCAAGAGTTGCTGTGAGGAATACAATGATTAATGAGACAAATAAAAATGCTACTTGCTTATAAATAATTTACAGCATATAAGGATTTACCAGTAAGCACGTGGTAAGCATCATAACAATATGGAGGAAAAAACTATATAGTTATTTAATGATGCTAAAAGAAATTTTTTAAAGGTTTTAAGAAAAATTGAAAAAATTATAAGTCTTGTAGTTAATTTATCTTTGCCACAAGGGAAGAATGCCTTATTGAATTTAACCAAATTCAGTTTATTGAACTGAATGCACAGAGCCAAAAGTCTCTCACTCCACCAAAAACTAATAGTCATCACGTTAATAAGAATTAAAGAACTGCTACCATTTTAATATTTCCTATATGCCAGATACTGGACTAAGCACTTTACATAAGTTGTCTCACTTAATTCCACAAAAAATCTATGAAGCAATAAAAAATTCTGATGCTATAGATGGGGAAACTAAGGCAAAAAAATACAGTAAGTTGCCACAAGTCATACGACAGCTAAGAAATTGCAGAACTGGGATGTGAATCTGATAGTCCTGATTGCCTTTAGGTAAAGTTTCCTAATGTTCTGTGCAAAGTACTGCATTTGTGAAATGAATCTAGACTTCAGGTGCAGAGGAGAGGCGGAGATGAAGTACGCAAAACAAATGAAGAATGGGCCAGGATTGATTAGCTACGTAATTAGCAGAGCTTAGTGCAAAATGAAAATGCAGGGCTCTTTGTTTAAAATGGAAAAGAAAAAGTCCATTAAGGGTACTAACAAATACAACTTTTATCCTTTCTTCCTCCCTCTACTTGTTGTGATATTTTGTATTTGCTATGTAATGTTTTACTCTTTCAAGCACAGGGATGCTCCGAGGCAACTGCCAAGCCCTATAGGCACCTGCACCATCCACCCCCTGCAGCAAGACTCTGCACATGTATAAGCCACATGTGCCTGCGGTGTTTCCCCCTCCCTCCAGGTGTTGGACCTACATGCTGTGCACTCCAGCCAGAGTTGGGGGAAGTCAAGTCAGGTAACTCCTCTTCCCACAGGCCCACTGAACTGTAGCAATCCATGGTGGAAGCGTATATTGCAACCTTTTTGCTGGGATGGACTATGTATTTGTATGAAATGAAATGGTGGGCAAGAGGATCTTTCCTGATGATTCTCCCACCAAATGTGTCACAGCACTGACAGCTTGGGGCTGGGACAGTAGCCACTATTATCTGACTGGAGATACCACAGAATTTGCATGCCCATGCCCAGGCTCTTGCTGTGTGCAGTGGGCAGCAGGTAGGATCAGGATGGGGAGGCCAGGCTGGAACAGGGCTATGGGTGATTCAGAACCAGTCCTAGAGATGGGGGAAGCAAGAAGACGTGGGATCACACATGAACCAGGCTTAGAGTAGCTTCATTGTTCCATATGACTCCAGTTATAAAAAATCACAAGTGAAATTATTAAAACTCTACTAACAGTGACCATACAGCATTAAACTCATGGTTACTACCATTCTACCATAGCCATGTTCTGAAAGGAGACAATGGATATTTACATGAAATGCAATATCAGGACTGAGGAAGTCTGAGAGACTGTAGCAAAATCAATTAAATGACCCACAAAAAATCAGAAGCTGTAACGTATTGGTGTTAATTAAGAAGTACTTCCAACAGAGAAAAATCAAGGATTAGAAGACCAGTTGTTGTATAGTAAACAATTACCTTCAGAGAAGACAGAAATGATTAGAAATCATTTTCTCCAAGAATAGAAAAGAGTTCAGCTTGCCTAGGGGGTGGGGTAAAGTGGTTGAAGAGTGTAGAGTAACTCAGGCTGATGTGTGTGCTGGAGACTGGAGCAGCCCCATGAGCAACTGTTACAAATCCAGAAATTTTCTGAGTTGGATCTTCAGTCACTGATTGCTTGAAATCAATTACAGTGTAGATATTTATACCACAGAAATCACTACATTGAAGGTTGCAAAAGTTTATGGCATGGGAGCATGGAAGAGCCTGAAAGCCAAGTTAGTAGTATTTTATTTGTAGGCAGTGGGGAACCTTTCATCTGACCTATGCGATTCTTCATTAAAATGAATCTGACAGCATTATAGATTGTATTGGAGGGGAAACTGACAGAATGAAAATCAGTAGGTCACTGCTATAGACAAAGGCAGAAATAATAGAACAAGAAAGATGTAAGACACCCCAAAAGAACACATTAATCCATGAGGAAACTGATAAGATTAATTGCAGTTAGGGATGGAGATGGTGGGGCCCTAAAAAGTATCTCCTAGGTTTAAACTTCAGTACATTAGGGACAAAATGGCCAAGCAGATGGACGGTGAAAGGAAGAGGAGAAATCAGAAGAGAAAACAGAGGATATTTATCACATTACTAAATGACTTAACTCTGACAACACTGGAGGAACAAGACGTCTTTTATAAAGAAATTTTAATTCCTGATCATCATTGAAAATCTAGTAAAAATCAACCAATTCACATTGGGTCACTTGATTTGGGCACCTATAACACCTTATTTCCTAACAATGCACAATGTAAACATTGCTATTTACAAAAGCCCCTGTAAGGAGTAAAGCTAAAGCGTTTAAGGTCAGAATTGCATTGCCTTAAGAAAAAGCCATCACAGACATTTGTTCATTGACTTTTTTTTAAACTTGGAAAATAGTTTGTTGGGGGAAGTATGAAAGAGAATGCAATGAAACACTAATTATCTTGAGTTGTTCAGGGAAGAAGTCTTTCACGTTGCTGTGATTTTCTTTGTAAGGTAACTGAGAAATAAAAAAACATTTTTTTCTTCAATCCCTTAGTATTGAAAATGCTTCTAAATACATCTAGGTTGCTTTCCAGAGTAGTAATACTTAACATTATAATTCACAAACATATTTTCATTCTCTACCTTTCTAGTTAACAGTCTGTAAATTAAACACATCTTTGTTTCAAAATTAAAATTCAATTGTAATGTGATTTCTGTGGAATTTAAATATAATGATATATCTTTATTGAATCTATAAAATATTTTTCTCCTTTCTCTCTTCATAATTATGCGTAAGTCAGACTATATAAGTATGCACATAATGTTGTTTGTTTCATATAGAAATTTCTCATTCCATTTTCTATTATCTCTTAGAACATAGTTCAGGGTGAAAAAATGATGGTAAGCCAGATGAGCTAGATGATAAGATCTTTGAGTTCAAGGGCTGGATCTGTCCTTTTATCTCCCCTGCATAGGTTTGTTTCTTTGATTTTGGTACTTTCCATTTTCCCTTATGGAAGTTTTATTTAGAATGCTGATTGTTTTCTAGCTACAAAGCAGTCACAAAGTAAAACATACTTTATTAAAAAAAAAACAGCAGTTATACAGAATGGCCATAATGGACCACAATTGATAACCAAAATTCTTGTCTATGATAAACAATGCATTTAAAGTTATGTTGACCTGGAGCACATCAAACACATGGGTAAATGCATTTAAGGCAATGATGGGATTACTAGTTATGGCTGGAAACAACTCAGAGACTGAGAAGTACGGTTGGTATCAATTTTCTCAAGCAAAGAAAAAACTAAACTAAGAAAGGTGCAATCGCAATGTGTCAATATCAAAATGTTTACACTAAAGCTGAATATTCATAGATTGAAAGTCATATTGCAAGATTTAGTTTGAAAGAATTTGAAAACAATCAGTCCGTAAAAGAAAAAGACCCAATAAATATTATAAATACAAATAGAGCAATAAAATTATTCATTGGAAAAACCAAACCTGGGAAAATGCCCTAAGCACATTTAAATTAGAAAACAAATTTATCCAGTGTTCTAGCTTCACTTATTCAACAAAATCCCTCTTTATATGCACTCATTATAACAGAAAAAGTCTAGTTTATCCTTGATATCCTCAGCAGAATTCACACCTTAAGGTTCATGTCCTAGGAACTTAATAAATATATTAATACAGGCCTTTGGGCTTTCTGGATCTTCAAGGAAGTCCATATTATTTATGCAGGTAGCTAGTACATGTTTGACACATCAAGGGAAATAGATAGCTTTTCTTGAAGTAGGGTGTTCTCTAAGTATGTTGGCACAAAGAAGAATCTTTAGGGGGAAACTGTGGGTTGGGCAGGGCACTGTAAAGCTATGAAGATCTTCCTCTTAGAGAGGTAATGATAGACAGAACAGGGGAAGATATGCCTCCCAAAATGCCAAGGCTGAATATTTTCAGTATCCTACAGATGAAAAAAAATTGGATAAATTTAAGAAAATAGTAATATTTATTCTTAATATATTATCTATTAAACTATTTCTCTTTGCCACAAACAATGCTACCATGCTTCTTATTGTTCTCACATCAAAGCTAAATTCTTCTGGTTTTTAAGCCATTTTGTAAGAAGGCCTTATTTTCCCCCACCTCCAGCCATCTCAGTGCTCCATCATGCCCTCTGCTCTAGTTGGCGCTTCATCCTTACTGTCCCATGGGCAACCATGCTGGTTGCTACTTTCACTTTTGTTCTCTTCTCTTGGAAAGCTGCCTGCCTCCTACTCAGTAATCAAATCCCATCTTTGTATAAGTCGTCCTTGCTTATTCCAATATTGCCAAGTTTTTCTAAATTCTGACCACCTACACTGCAGAACCATACAACACAATTCAGCTGATAGACATTCTCCATTCCATTTTCCTTCCACAACATTACCTAAGCACCAGTGAGTCATTTACTAGTCACTGGTATATACAGGCCATGCGTAAGTGATGACAGACAAAACCCAAAACCCAAGGAATTTATACGTGAAGTCAAGGGTAAGATACAAATGAAACCATACTTTAAATTTTCTTTTTTAAATAAAATGTAACTAAATTTTTGTGTATGTTTGTTAACTTTTTGTTACCCTCTCAAGTTCTTAGAGGACAGAGATCTTAGATCTTGATTACTTTACGTCTTTTCAATTCAAATATTAGAATTCTTACAATTCAGTATTCACTCTGCATATCATTTTCATAACATTATCAGAAGAGGGTACTCATCTAGAATTCCCCCTCTTGTCTCTGTTCAGCTCCATCCCCAATTTTGCTAATTCTCTGATTTTCCAATTCACAGTCTATATCACCTCCGACAGTTACCCAAGCTGGGCAGTTTCCTAGACTCCTTCCTTTTTCCCTTGCTTCCCCCACATTTAACTCATTCACCATGGCCAGTTGATTTAAATTCCTAAGTCTTTCTCCAATCCATCTGTGTATTTCCATTTTCCACTGCCCTGGCCTAGGATCATGCCTTTGTCATTTCTCTCCTGATCAATCACACCACCTTTATTCCTCTCCCCTCCTTCCATCTCTTCTCTACACTGTTTCAGAGTGATTTTTATTAAATACACATCCAACCACATCCTTTGCCTGCTTAAATTTTCTGATGGCTACAGATATGCCTTTTAAATAAAACCCAATTATTTAGCATGGAACATAAGGTCCTTCATGCACTATTCCGCTACTTCCCTCTCCAAGGTACTTCCACCTGCCTTTATAGTCTCAATATTCAGAAATGTTGAAATTCTTGAAACTCTCAAGGAACATTACATGTCCTTAAACCTCTGTGCATTCTACTTCTCTGCCTAGAATGATTTTTCCTCTGCTCTGTACCTTTTAGGCTACTTAATGAATTAAACATTGAACACAAGTGTATGGTGTATGGTTTTCTACAGGAAGTCTCCTCTGAGCTCATCCTATTCTTCATCCCTCAATAAAATCTCTAGAGTTGGTTAAGTACGCTTTAATGACACCATTTTATATACCTCCATCATGAAACTCTAAAGTAATTGTCTGTCTTCCCCATTAGACTGAGGTTTTGGGGATAGAGAGTTCCTTAAGGAAAAATGCCATGTTTTACTCCATCTTTGTAAACCTGTATCAAAGCACATTTCCTGGTAGTATAAAGAAAGTTTTCAGGAACACTGAATGAATGCACAGACTAAGTATTCAAACACTTCTTGCCTGAACTGACACCAAGTTCTTTGAAGAATAAACAGAATTTGTGGTATTTTATATGTCTAAGAAGAAAAACATTAAGATTCACTCCATTACAAAAGTGAAGATGTTTTAAATTAGTGTACCTCATGGGCAGAAATAAATACATCAATTTACCAGCAACTTCTCCATTGGTAAATTGATAAAGTAGAAATCTCACCATCAATTAGAAAATCCAGAAATTATCTGAGGTATTTCATTTGTTTCTTTTAAGCTTTCTATTACAGAAAGCTTTAAGCTAATAGTAGATACTTTAAAATATTCATCATTCCTATCTGATGTTATAATTATGCTGGCCTTCAAAATAATTATGTTTGGCAATATTTCTTTCATTCTTTCCAGGGATGGCAAATGCTAATGCCTCTTTAAATTACAGATTGACATATATATCTATGGTTTCAAATGCAGTCCCATATGATCTATATACCATTCTGTGATTTGATTATTTAAATGAGAATGCTTATTTTAACTTTCTAATATTACGTAAATTATATCTCAGAAAATTACTTCATATTTAAATGAATAATGAAATTTATTACACAAATTTTTATATTTAGAATGTTTAAATTAATATATCTCATAAGCAAAAATAAGCGATGATGTTTTCATATGAATACAACATATCAGTCAACAATTATTTTACTTAAATCCTGTAGGTTCTCTACAAAGATTAACAGAACATAAACTCACACTTGAATGATCATGTGACTCAAGAAAAATCCCTGGGATAATGATACATACGACTGAGAATGAAATAATATACACATTTCAATATTGAAAAATTCCAATACAATACTGATCTTATTTAATCTATATATTTATGTTCCATATTCTTATAAAAATGCCTTTATTTAAAAAATAATGCTTATTATATATTTTAAGAAATTCAAATAAAGTAATACAGAAAGAACAGAAGAAATGCTTACAAATAAATTTTAGTCAAACATTCAATCACTGGAAATCAGATATTTTCCCTTAGCACAAGTTATACCAAACCATTCCTGAGTACTCTGACCTGAGTGCCAGTCCAGAGGTAGTGAGAGGGTGTATCCAAGCATGTACATTACTTTAATTGTAGTTTTAATGCCATTAAAAATATATGTATAGACTTAATTGAAAAGATCTTTCAGCAATACTCTAAATGAAATTACATAATTACATTTTTTTCTAATATAAGGCAGATTCAGGAATGGAAAGGTCAGAATCAGGAAAAGAGAAATGAAGTCCTATGTGCTTATTAGTTTCTTAATTTTATAATTTTTCATACTCATCACAATGAAAATAATGCTTAATGCCTTCAAAAGAATAGTACGCATAGAAAGAAAAATATTCTTCACTATTAGAAAAGTTTATTAATGCCTTGTTGTAAATTATACCTATGTTGTAAAATTATAAAATTGGCAATAAACACTCTCTGATGTTGAGTTTAATTAGATAAGACTATGTAATGGTAACAAAGTCATAATTAAGCATTTATGTAATTGAACTAATTTCATCATGAGGTTATTTTACTAAGGGTATACATACAGCACAATAGCATTTTGAAAGCAATATTTTCACTATACGCATCTTTAATGATTAGATTTTGAAGAAATACAAGTATTCTCTGATATTCAGCAACACTAAGAGTTATTTATAAATTTCTCTGAGAATGTGAAATCCTCCTATAATTCATTAATGTAGCTGGCGTACAATATAAATGTTCTGCCTTTAACAAAATTCAACTTTCATTTATATTCCATAATTATCCTGGCCCAAGACAATTATCAAGAGCACACCTTAATTGATTTACAGCTTCATAATCTGCAAGAAAGAATGAGGTGACATACAAAAATTCTCCTGTTGATAAATAAATATTTAATATTGGGATTTACAGAAAATAAATATCAAGTTGAAGTCAAGACAATTATTTTCCAGGCAGATGTGAATGTACAAACAACAATTTATTCCAAAATCTTTATTTCACTCATCTTAAATAAATGATGCAGAGATAAGTGATTGGTCTGAAACATATTGTTGCTAGAAATATAAACTTTCTGTTCAGACACCAACATGTCATAATACCCAACCTACTGTAAATATACCCAATCTTCTAGTTTCACTTCAAGTTCTAGGGAAATGCCATATTTTAAATGAGTATGCTTTGGTAAAATATGTATCTGCTTAATGGAGCATAAAAAATGTTTTAACATGAAATGTTCTGAAAGGGATTTGAGACAAAATACATTACCTTGCAATTACTACGTGAGAGTCAACAGATTAGCTTAAATGTGATATGCTGTGTTGGGTACTATCTAACTCAATACATTCCAAACTTTTTAAAATTATCATCACACATGTAGAATATGAAAATATTTATCAACACATAGAGTAAATGTACAAATCTGCTTCTAGAGAAAGGCCACTGGCCCAGAGCTCCAGCTACTCTGATGGGCAGAGGAACCAATAACTCAGTATACCTCACATGTGCAGCCTATTATAGCACACTCTATGGGAAGGTTTGATTATAGTAGTAGGAAATAGTTTCATGCCTCATGCCAACTCAACCAGTTAGTAGAGATGTCTTTAGTGTAGAGTGACCATCTTATCCTTGTTTGCAGAAGACATTTCCACCTTAAAACTGGAAGTCCTGTGTCCAAGGAATCATGTTCAATCCCAGGAAAACTGGGGCAGTTGGTCCCCTAATCCAATGGGATGCTGGGAAGGATGCTGACATTGCATCCAGGACCAGTTGGAAAGAAATGACATTGGTTTAAGGATAGAGTGGACAAGTGAGTCTCCTCCTTGTGTGCCAGCTAAATCCTTTCCATGTGAATTAGATATACAGGAAATTGTTGATAAGCAGAGATGCAAACAGAGCTGAAGGACAGAGTTGAAGCTAAACATGAAAGAAATATAAAGAGACCATCTTAGTCCATTTTGTGCTCCTATAGCAGGACATCTGAGCCTGGGTAATTTATAAGGAACAGAGATTTCTTTCTTACAATTCTGGAGGTTGAGAATTACAAGGTTGAGGGGCCAAATTTAGTGAGGGCCTTCTTGCTCTACCATCTCATGGTGGAAGGGCAAAGAAAGGGTGAGAGAGAGCAGGAGATGGAATTTATAGCCTCACATTCTCATGAACTAAACATCTCCCATTAGGCCCCACCTCTCAACTCTGTTGCATTGGGTATTAAATTTCTAGCATCTGCTTTTGGGGGGACACATTCATACCAAACCACAGCAATGACTTAAAGAATAAAGGCAAGAAAATTAAAGAGGAGGTTGAGATTGGTGGCACAAAGGAATAAGAAAATGAAAAGTGGGTTAAAATAAATTTTAAGCATAGTCAGGCAGTATAAGAAATGGAAACAAAGACCATCAACAAGTGACAAGTACTTTTGAAATGGAGCCAGGTGAACACTGTCAAGATAGAGATTGCTTAAGAATCTCACTGTGGTCCATTCTTGCTGGGCAATATGAGATGCACCAGTGGACCATTATAGCCCTTAACTTCCCTATACTGCTTTCTAGAAAGTTAACTAATTAACTGGTTAATTCCCTAGGGAACCAGGATATCATATCAGGGTCATGATCTGGATTAGCATGAGATACTCTGGGGTCCTACTGATTTATATGGGCACAGCAAGGAATGATGAAAAATATGGGAGTGGCATGCATTAGAGAAATGGGAGAGAGTAAGAGAAAGAGAAAAGAGGATATGAGATTTATATTCTCGGATCCCTCCAAATCACCAAGACACCTGATCTTCAATATAGGGCTAAAATTTATGTGCTATCAGTAATATAATGAAAATGTCAGTGATATTATATTGATAATTTTGGTGATATTTGAGCACTTACATAGGCCAGGCACTGTAACATAGGATTTATATACATCTCATTTATTGCTGTAGTCAGAATACAGCTACCCATATTGCTATAAAAATACACATGTTGAAGATTGACAGTGGCAGGAGGCAGACAAATTCCTAGGCAGACAGAGGTAGGTCCCCAGAGAAACCCAACCTTGAAGCCAAAGACAGCATAAAGCCTGAAAACTGAGCTGCCAGTTCTGAGTAGAGTATGACCAGGGACCTTTCTCGATGCCTTTTAGCCAATTGAATGGTGCTTTTTTCCAGGCCCATCCATGGACCAATCATCATGCACTCCCCCATTCTGAGCTCATAAAAATCCCAGACTCAGCCACACATGGGGCTACCTGTTTTCGGGCCCCTTCTCACACAGAGGGCTACCCACTTCAGGTCCCCTCTTGTTGTAAAGAGGTTTTCTGTTGCTCAACAAAATTCTTCCCTGACTGGCTCACTCTGTGGTCATTCTTCTTGATCATAGGACAAGAACCCGGAACCCACCAAATGGTGGGTGTGAAAAGTGCTGTAACACTGTAACCCTCCCTCCCACTTGCCAAACAACAGGGGAGAAAAAGCTGCTGGGCACCACAAGCTCCCGTTTACTGAGCTGTGGGCACCAGGACTAAATGAGCTGTGACATGCACCTGTTTGCCATGCTATGGGCAGTGGGAACAAATGAGCTGTAACATGAATGAGCTATAACATCAATGAGCTATAACATGCCCCTCTCCCCCATTGTTTGCCACACTGTGGGCAGCAGGAATGAGACAGAACTGTAACATTTCTTGGGGGCTCAAACCTTGGGACTCCCTAGACAAGGGCTGTAACACCCTTTGGGACTCCGTGGTTGCTGGTAGTTTGTGGGTGCCACCACGTTCCCTTCATCTAGATGCAAGCACCCAACATGGAAACCACTTGCCACATGCCTGGCTCAGATGCCCAGATCAGGACTGGTAGTGTGAGCCAAGTGCAGCCTGTTGGGCCAAGTGGGTTGAACGAGTCCAGCAGGCTTGAGCAAAACCCAGGCAGAGGCACCACCTGCCATGAAGGTTTCCGGCTGGCAAAAGGGCACTGAGAGGATCCTGTGTCAGGATGACAACAGAAACACTTTTGTGTAAATTTATAATTGAGTAAAAACTTTCATGATTTGTTATTCAAAATCACTATAGTTTTCATAAACAACTCGTAAAGATTTCTATTTTTAAAGTAAGAAGTATATGTTCTGTTACTTGTAATTCTATAGCTAATTTTCTATATTGGAGAAATTTATGAAAAAGATATAGGAGCTGCTGTAAGGCATGGATCTGACTAGTTGTCATTATTACAAAATTACAAAACAGAATGATTTACTTAAGACTGCAAGCCAAAGAAAGCACTAGAAAAAACTAATGTAATAGACCCGGGTATTTCTGATGAAAAAAATAATAGTTCTAATAAATATAAAAATAGTAACAACTTCAATGATTTTTTATAACTACCTGCTGTGTTACAGTGCTGAGAAAGACACTGTTGGAGTAGAGAAGTAGCAAGCAATTAAATTTTATAACATCTGTGATCCAACTAGAAGCAAAACTCTATCCAAGTTGACAAATGTTGTTATTACATAAATTCTATTTTTCTACCCTTACTGACTTTTTCCATAAGACAGTGAATTTGAGCTTAGACAGCGGTCTTTGTTTAAGCATATTTGAACTCAGACACCAGACTGACAGGGTTTGAATGTTTGCCACTTAACTTTGCAGCTGTGTGATGTTCAATGAGTACCAAAGCTCCCTCACCTGTAAAATGGGTATACTTTTTTTTTATCTCATAAAATGCCATAAAAATATTGGTAAAAGGGCTTAGCTCATTTGCTAGGCATGTAGTGAGTACCCAACACATGTGTGATACATGAATGAATTCCTGCTCTGAAGAGATTTCTTTCACTTTTCATATTTTCTTTTCAGCCATCACTTTGGTTCTTTGAAATTTACTCCAGCTTTCTATTCAGCTACTGAGCTGAACCATTACTTAGACCCTCCCTGCTCCAAAGCCTTTTCTTATATGCTTTCCATTATTCTGCCTCCTCTTGCTTTGGTCCAAGTTATCAGATCTGCCTATCCTTGCTTCCAATTCTAATCTCTGAACTGGGTATTTTTGCCAAGTTCAACAAAGTCCTTATTTCTATTTTTTTAAAAACATCCACAAATACATCATCCCTCAGCAAACCTTCATCCCCAAGAGAGTTGCAACTGAATGGGACCTTAGAGCACGATGTGATGGGTAGAGGTAGGAGCAGTACTGCTGGTGTAACCATTAGAGATGCTCACCAAGTAGTGCAGACTTTTCATGTTCTAGGCAAACGGGAGCACAGTACTCCCCCACCCTGTTTGGAAACTGGGTATGGCCATGTGACTTGTTTTGGCCAAGAATATGTGGACAAAAATAACTTGTGTCACTTCCTTCTGGGCAGAAGTTTTGAGAACCAGTAAGTGATTCACCACGCTCTCTTTTCTGCTGACACAGCTAGCCTCTGATGATATTCCAGATAAATAGCTGTTCTTTCAGGCTGGATCCTAGCTTGAAGACAACATGAAGCAAAGAAACACAATTGACACATAGGTATGAGCGACAAATAGGTGTTTTTACTTTAAGCCACAAACTTTGAGGGTTGTTTTTTCGAAAGTACAAACTTACCTTTCTTGACTGAAATAAAAGTCTCATGATTAAGAGCACACCTATTCAAACCCCAGCTCTACTGCCTAGTATATGTATGCCTTTAGGGTACTTATTTACCCTATTTTTGGATGACTTGAAGAAATGTACTTCCCCTATGTCTGCCGCAACTTTTACATCCCAGTAATACAGGGATGACACGAGTACCTAATTCATCTGGAATGAGGAATAAAAAGGTGTCACATGTAACATACGTAGAACTATATATGATTAGTATTTGCTATATGCCAGTGGCTAATAGGGCCCACAAAGAAAATATCCCTGATCTAAGGAGCTTAAAACGTGGTAGGAGAAATAAAGCATATATGAAAATTACCACACCTCACAATGAAAAGTATTGGAACAGCGATTCAAGCAAACTAGTGTGGAATGTTAAAGAGAATTTTTTTGTATGGGAAATAGAATACATGGTGGGCAGTATGGGATTTTTAATGGACCTTGAGAAATGAAGGTTTGGAAGGTAAAGATAAAAGGGATTGGGGAGTAGGGTGGTAAGAACATTTCAGATGATAAAAGTAGCATGCTGTAATTGCCATGTGCATTTTTGTAAGAATATCTGTGGTAGAGTGTTAATTTGGCATGTAATATTCAATTATTTGTTCATGTGTCAGAGTTTCTTTTTTTCTTTTATTTTCTTTCTTTTTTCCTTTTTTTGATGTGGTCAGGATCAGATCAAGGGCTGCATCTATTTTTTTTTAAGTATGTCTTCCCCTAATGTAGTGAAACACATAAAGGGGGCATTTAATAGGCTCTGTTGCAGACTAAAAACATAAAGATCTCTTACTCTCTTCACATGAAGAAAAAAAAAAAAAGAAAGAAAAAGGCTTAAGGTGCCACTGGAAGTTTTAACTATTTACCTGAGTTTAATACCTTAGCACCCGGCCATGTTTGCACAGGTGTGGGTGTATATAATGTCTATAATTCTATGCAGAATCTGAGTCTTTGAAGGGAGCCCACTTCAGGGCTTCCGAACATCTGTGTAAATACACATTTGAACGCCAATTTAAAGGGAATCAAATTTATGGATTTAAACCAACCCTAGGTCATTAGCCAAATCCCCAATTCAACATCTAACATCAGAAATATTCCTTTCCTCTGGGCCTCATCACTTTCTCAAATAAGCAGGAGCTTTTGTTCTATCGAGCAGGCCACTTTGGGGGTTGAGACAAGTGCATTGTGTTAGAGATACCCATTGATATCAGCTCCTTGGGAAGCAAGGAGAAAAATCAAAGGAATATTAAAGGCAGAGGTGGGTCCAGGAGAAAAACTGTTTGCCTATTGAGATAAAGACCCTCTAATCCATTAGAATTAGCGATTCAGGGAAAAAGTGTTTAAGGCATAATGGGAAAAGCCTGTAGCCCAGAGCAGGTTTGAAAGTGCCTTTATTGAATTAAAACTTTAAGCATTTTGAGAGTAAGAAGGCCTTTTGAAGGTACCTCCTTCACCATCTGTGGCACCACACCTGGAATATGGCAGGCACCCAGTAAATGCTTGTTTGCTAATAAACGCACAGGTACAAAAATGTACAGGCATGTGAAAGGACCCTATGGTACCAGTTACAACATGACACTATAGGTGCAAAATGTTTTAATAGGGTTTTTTTTTTAGAATCTGCAATATGTTCATGCCTGAATGGCTAGGAATTCAAGAATGCTCAAATCAAAGCACATTTATATTTTGCTGAGATTGTAAGAAAATCCTGAACTTTATTCAGGTAATGATAACTAAGACTATATATATATATTATATATATATTTTATATATATTATATATATTATATATATATTTTATATATATTATATATAATATATATATTTTATATAATATATATATTATATATAATACATATTATACATATATATATTATACATATGTATAATTATACATATGTATAATATTATATATATGTATAATATGTATTATATATAATATATATTATATATATGTATAATATGTATATATATAATATATATTATATATATGTATAATATGTATATATATAATATATATTATATATATGTATAATATGTATATATATAATATATATTATATATATGTATAATATGTATATATATAATATATATTATATATATGTATAATATGCATATATATTTCCTTTTATGCCATTAAATCTGGATTTTCCTGCCTTTAAAGACACACAGGCTTCTCACTAATGCGGACCAGTGTTAAAAACAACATAGAGAATCTAGGTAATAGCATCCATACATTTTATTTTTCCTCAGCACTAAAAATAAAGTTACTTTTCTGCTTAGCATGTTTTCACCGTCCTTCAGGGTGGGGGAACAGTGCTTACAATGACGTTCTCTCCATTGGCTTCACAAACACCCTAACCACTATGTGCCCTGAATGTGATTACATTTTGCTACCTTTGAAGAGAAGAAAAAAAACATTGAGAAGAAAAAGAAATCTGGCTGGCTCTAAAGAAAAAGCCTTTAAGTACAGCTTTAAACATTTTAATAAGCAGTTTATTTCCCTTCCGCTGATTGCCCTGGAAAAAAATAAAATAAAATAACACGCAAACAAAGCCAGGATTGATTAGTTCTTCTCCTCCCCCATTCCCAACTGCTGTTCACTCAGCAGGAAAAAGAAAATCACAGTATGGGACTCAGAATCTTATTCATTAGCATGTGTGGCCCTTCCTGGTGGATGGTCTACTTTCTCCACAGCCCCCTCCATCAGTGTTTGCTGAAATCTGAGAGGGGGAGATTCTGAAGTCCTCGAGCAGGTGTCTATGCTGGCATCACAAGATATAACAGATTTAAAAAAGGCTTTGAAAATAGTAACACATACTCAAATGAACATTAGTATTAGAATTAGTTGTCCACGTGTTAAAGATATTAACTACTATTATTATACAATGTTAGTCTTTTCTGAATAAGGCGATCCATTAGAAGAAAGACTACTCTGGCTCAAGGCATTCTTAATCTATCTAGCTCTTCAGTTTCACTGGAAAGAGAAATCTGTAAAGAAACAAATCAACTTCACCCCCAAAATAATCAAATGAAATGTGAAAATTAATTAAAGATGACATGTGAAAAGGCTAAACTGTATCATAATTGTGAGTATGACCATCAGAAGAACACCCAGTCACAATTGAAGTTGCAAAGTTGCAGCAGCAGTAAAGGCTGTCCAAGCCCTTTCTTTTTACTTTCTTTCTTTTTTTTTTTTTCTTTTTTTTAGTAAGACGGAGTCTCGCTCTGTCGCCCAGACTGGAGTGCAGTGGCGCAATCTCAGCTCACTGCAACCTCCGCCTCCCAGGTTCACTCCATTCTCCTGCCTCAGCCTCCCGAGCAGCTGGGACTAAGGCACCCGCCACCATGCCTGGCTAATTTTTTGTATTTGTAGTAGAGACGGGGTTTCACCGTGTTAGCCAGGATGGTCCCGATCTCCTGACCTCGTGATCCACCTGACTCAGCCTCCCAAAGTGCTGGGATTACAGGCGTAAGCCACCATGCCTGGCCATGTCTAAGCCTTTTCTTTGTGGCAAACATTGCTCTAAGCTCTTCACTTACAATATTAATACTTCGTTATATCATTACAATAGCCTTATGAAGTGGGTTCTCTTATAATGGCCACCTTACAGAAGAAGAAACTGGGGCAAAAAAAAGGTTTAAGTTAACATAAGCAAAATTCTCACAACTAACAGCTGCTGGAGTAAGAATTTGAACTCCTGCAGCCCAATGAACTGCTAACTCTATGGCTTCCCATGCAAAATTAGCAAACGGCTTTGCAGTGAATAGCAACAAATATTTGTTATGTGACTTCAAGGATACTTACATCTTTGCCTAACTAGAAAATGGCAGAGCAGAATTCTAACCTGGGGTAGTTGGCTGAATAATGGCCTCCCAAAGATGTCCATGTCATAATCCCGGAACCTGTAAATATGTTACCTTATATGGAACAAAGGGACTTTGTGGATGTGATTAAGACTTTTGAGATAGGGGGATTATCCTGGATTATATGGGTGGGCTCTAAATGTAACTGCAAGGGTCCTTATGGGAGAGAAGCAATGACCCCATAATTGTCCTTATGGGTCAATGGGGCAGAAGGTGGTGATGTAACAATGGGAGCAGAGATTGAAGGGATGTGACCAGAAGCTAAGGGATGCTGACAGCATCTAAAAGCTGGGAGAGAAAAGGAACAGATCTTCCCTGGAGTCTCTGGAAGGAACCATCCCAGCTGGAACCTTTATTTTTAGCACTTTATGACATACTTTGGATTTCTTCCCTCCAGAACTATAAAATAATAATTTGTTTTCTTAAGCCGTCAAGTTTGTGGTAATTTGTTACAGCAGCAGTAGGAAGTGAATACACTTTGGATTTCTCTGTTTTGTTTTGTTTCCAATAAACGCTTTTTTCTTGGATACAAAACTGACAGGAATTTACTTTGTTGATGGTCTATGTTTTAGTATTTTCCAAGTAGTAGCACTAAAATTCCCTCAGGAAATCCCTTAGTCCAGAGACAATTGGTCACCTTATTTTTAAGTGAAAACATCATAAATGGAAAGAAAAATGAGGTCCCTTAAATAGGAGAAAATAATTTGTTGCCTGGGATTTAGAAGCAAATTCAATTTCATGCTTGCCAAATGACTTGCTTGGACTGAGAGAATGATTGTGCTGGACATAGAAGTAATTGCATTCCTCACACCAGAACACAGTAGCCACAGTTCACATAGAGTGGAGCAGCAGTTCAACTAAACTGTACTGGTAAAACCATGAGGACTACTATGTAATTGTTAAACTCAATGTTAAGATGGCTGCTGAGGAAATGTGTCTCCCTCTTTCCAACCCTTCACCAGCAAGAAGATCTCCAGTTACTCTAGAATAGAAAATCAGATTGTCTGATATAAAACACACTATCTCAGAAACAGACCAGATGAGTGACAGGGGACAAGTCATGACTCAATCAAGCCTTGCCTGATACTTTAATTTAGGCTGAAAGATAGAGAGTACAGCAGGATCCTTTGAAATAAGTCTAAGCTATTACCATTTTTCTTACTCTGACAAACAATGTGCTACTAAAAGTTTTAGGAATAATAACCTTTTACGACATTATGCTGAATGATTAATTCAAATCACCGAATTGCACTATTTAAGAAACCAATTTATTATTTGCTATAGTTGCTTTAAAATGGTTTTAACACTCATCCACTTTGCAGTAATCTAAATTTATCAGGCACAGTGCTATTTTCCTCCACCCTTCCCAGTTCTCTCATCTATTTAAACCACATATATGCACTCTGTTTAGCTGCTGGTGGGCGCAAGTCCTTCACTCAGTATATATATTTTTTGCACATTTTTTGCACATTTATATTTATTTTCTTAATTTATAAACTCGTTGTACCAAAATGATTTTTTAAAACAGTGAGAATTTAATGGGGAAACATTTTGTTTCTCCTCTACCACCCCAGATTACGCTAACTTTAGTTTGGTGTACATCCTCCTAGACTTTTCTCTAAGCCTATATAAACTAATTCATGCTTATGTAGGTGTGAGGTTTTTTCTTACATATTTTTGGCAACTTGTTTCTTCTTTTTTTCTCACTTAACTTTATAACGAGGTTGTCTTTTCATTTTAGTACATAGAGATCTGCCTTGTGATTTTTATAATGGTTGTGTTATATTTCACAGTACATAATTTATGTTACCATTCCTCCATTGACTAAAATACCGGTTATTTCCAATTTATTGCTAACTCAGTAAATTCTCCAGGGTGACATTATCATGTGAATTATGCCTTCTTTACTACTGGGTGACAGACAAATATTGCCCTGTCCCCAAACACTGCACAGAGATATCGATGTAATCAGATGTTCTTATCTGATTTGTCTTCTCAGTGAGCTGGTTCTATCAAAGCTATTTTTTTGTCTTTCTTTTCATTTTAGAAAATCCCAGTAGGTCAAATCAAAAAGGGAAGATTAAAGTATTCTACCTTAATAAAAATGCCTGCCACACAGAGGGAGGTTAATAATGCCTGTTGACCAAATGACTGAGTGACTATGACTCGTGTATCAAATTTTAAACTTAAATTTACTCATCAATTTTGCTCCCCATTAATGAATCCCCAAATTTCTATATAGAGGGGCCAGGAAGTATTAACATCTGACTTCCAAAATACCATACATGGGAACATTTAGTAGAAACAATTGCTGTTTTTTGAAGTGAAAACAATTTTGCAAGTCTGCATTTTACCACTTGCTGGTTGAACAATTAAAAAAAAACACTTGGAAAAAAGGAATAAATGCTTAAAACAGGAAACTTACAAACACCCACAAAATGGCAATAAAATTCCAGTGTGTGATTAGATAACCAGCTGTGGAAAAGTGTTTAGTACAGTAGAGGCTGCTTCTCTCCCAAATCAGCCTTTTCCTTGAGACTTTAACAATGCCCAGACCACACATTTGGTAATAAATATATATGATGCCTGCCTGCAGAGCACAGATATAAAATGCCAAATCCCATGAAATAGCATATAGTTATTTAGTATTTTGAAAGGTTATTGTTTTCTTTGCAAACATACTTAAGCTACTACTGCTAAAATTCAGGAAGACACTGCTGTCTGCTAAAGAATTATCAGCCTAAGGAAAAGTCTTTCAAGGATGTTAAAGTACACACTGTACTAATAGACAATTGAAAATGTTATAAAATATACTCCTCCACGTGTGCTATGATTATAATGGGTGTTTTATTTTTCCTTGACATTCCCTTATTCTGCAGGTGTTTTCGTTTATGCAAACATATTCCTGCAGTCTAACCACACATAGCAGATGCCAAACACTGATTTTTCATTTGGGATTTGGATATGTCTTTGTAATTTTGTTTCCATTTTGAGGTTTAGGCACACAAAGAATATTTATTTACTATCCATTGTACACAACTTAGAATAGTTTCTGGCACATAATAGATGCCCAAGTAATAAATACTAAATAAATACTAAAACATCACGTCAGTACTGTGGTGGGGTACACAGGTGATGTATTAGAAAGAACATTTGACTAGTTCTTTCTCTGATCTAGAGAGGCAGTATGATTTGAAACAAGATACCAGATATCACTAGCCCTTACTTTCTTCAATCATCTATAAAACATAAATATATCACCATGTTTTGTATATGTGTACACCAGTTTGAGGGAGTTTAATGGAGGGAGGGAAGTCTAGATTATATATTTTCCTTAGGCTTCAAAATACTTAACAGTTTAAAAATAATATGCCAGTCTTGAAGGAACTGATAAAATCGTAAACTATTTTATAAAAACTCATCTAGAAAAAACACTTCTCTTTTTATGCTTAAATGCATTTAAATTAAAATATCTAGGGACATATAAAAGCAAAGTTACTCAAGTTCACAAACATCTGAAATACATAATTTTGTGGTGCCAGATGACAAGAAGTTATCTGATGAAACTCATGGATCAAAGTATTTGTTCTTAATTCCCTCAGAATTTAGAAAACTGGTGGATTTTTAATTTATATGGTATATATGCAGTATTCTTATATATGCTCATGTGTATAGGTTGAACTACAAGGAATAATAACAAGGACAGGCTTTGGATCAGACAGACTGGAGTTTCACTTTTGGCTCAGGTACTCACCAACTATGTGAACTCCAGTTCTTTCATCTCTAAGATGTACATGTCACCAGCTACCACATGGAGCTGCTATGTTTTAGAGCTCAATTGCTTGGTTATATGTTAGCAATACAGGACCTGCAGCTGCAACAGCATTCTGTTATTCACCTCTACCTCTGTTTCCTCTCTCTCTCTCTCTCTCTATGTGTGTGTGTGTGTATATCTATGTATGTGTGTGTGTGTATATGTATATATATACACACACACACAACCTGTTGGAGAAAAAACAGTATTAGGCAAATCTAAGTTATTACATATATATACTTTATATATGACGTGTGTGTGTGTGTATATATATATATATACACATATAAAACTTAGGTTTGCCTAAACTTATATATATAACATATATGTTATATATAACTTAGATTTGCCTAAACTTATATATATATCATATGTAAATATATATATAAGTCTAAGTTTTATCTATATAACTTAGATTTGCCTAAACATTGTTTTTTTCTCCAACATGTTAAAATAATAAAGAGCCTGCCGATATGGTTGCATAAATCAAAGATGGCAGGTGCCTGAAACATGTGTCTATGTCTTTCCATCCCTTGACCATGGCGAGCATCACTAATTTATCATGGCAGTCTTTACTGCTAAGGCCACAAAAGCCTGCAGAATCCTTCCCACGACAGCACTCATGGCAGGTCCTACTAATCTAATGGACTAGCTTTTAATTTATTCGCCAACCTTGGTATCTGTGTAGCAAAATGTACGTGAGTGTCCAGAACATTATCAGCATCTCAACTGAGTTCCTTCATATCCAGAAGAGCATTGCATTAGAGAAAAATGTCAAAGCATTTTAAGCATACCTGCTATTCATTCTTACTAAAATTTATAGCGAGAATGAAGAAAAACTGCTGTTCTAAATCTTGACATTTTAATAGTTCTTTAAAATTAATTTTGGAATAGGTAATACATTTAAATGAATCAAAGAAATAATGTAAAAAGTATATACACAGAGAAGTCTTGACCCTGGCCCATCACCTCCATAGGCCTTATTGCCCTACTTCCCCATAGGGAAGCGTTTGTCAGTCTCAACACTGTTGATGGTTTTGGCTGGATGATTCTTTTTTGTGGGGTGTGTGAGGTTGTCCTGTGCATTTAAGGATGCTTACTAGCACAATGAGTCTATATCCACTAGAAGCCAGTAGCAACAACCCCACCCACAAACTCCACTTGTAATAACGAAAAATATCTCAAGACATTGCTAAATGTCTCCCAGTTGAGAATCTCTGACCTAAATAAAGGTAACTATTTTTACTATTTATCTTTCCAGTCCTTTTTTATGCAAATTTAAGCAAATAAGGATGAATACATGCTGTTAATTTCTCCTCTTATTCAAAAGGTAGCATATTACCTTTTGCTACCTTTTCCTGATTATCTATTAACAGCTGCATAGTATTCCATAATTTATTTAATCTCCTAATGATGTATTTCTGGGTTGTCCCAAAAGCACTGAAATACTGAAATAAACATCCCAGCACGTTTGTCATTTTGTAGGGGCATGACCATATCTTTAGGATAAATTGTCAGAAGTAGGATTGCTAGATCAAAGGTAAAGATACCTATAAAGCATTTGGGATCTTATCAGATTCCCCTCCAGTAGAGTCTTTTTTTCATTTTTACTTACATCTAAAACGCATGAGAATACCTGTTTCCTCTCAACATTGTCAAAGAGTATGTTGTCATAGTTGGAATGTTTACCAATCTAAAAGGTGAGAAATAGTGTAACACTATAGTGTTAAATTTGCATTTTTCTTATCATGAATGAGGTTATTTATCTTTTATACGTTTAAAAACTATCTGCTTTCTGTTGGTTCATGACCTTTGCCCATTTTTCTGTTAGGCTGTAGGTATGTTTTCTTTATTTCAAGAAACTCTTTACATATTAAGGAGATTGCTCTTTATGATATGTAATGCAAATGTTTTCCCTCAGTTTATTATTGGCCTTCTGGTTTTGCTGATGGTATCCTTTTTCTATGCAAATATATACATATACATATACATATATATATATATAAAATTGCAACATGGGCTGGACACTGTGGCTTATGCCTGTAATACCAGCATTTTGGGAGGCCAAGGCAGGTGGATCATCTGAGGTCAGGAATTTGCGACCAACCTGGCCAATATGGTGAAACCCCATCTCTACTAAAAATACAAAAATTAGCTGGGTGTGATGGTGGGTGCCCGTAATCCCAGCTACTTGGGAGGCTGAGGCAGGAGAATCGCTTGAACCCGGGATGCAGAGTTTGCAGTGAGCTGAGATCGTGCTATTGCACTCCCACCTGGGTGACAAGAGCAAAACTTCATCTCAAAAAAATATATATATTGGAAAGTGGTCAAATTTATGCCAATAAACTTTGGGGTACAAGTAGAAAGATCTTCTTGGCTTCAAGATTATAAAACAAGTGAACAATGTTTTCTTCTATTAATTTTTATTTCATTCTTACACTTTCAAATCCTTATCTATTTGAAATTCATTCTGGCGTACACTGTGAGGTATTGTTCAACTTTTTCTCTTTCCAAATGACTAGACTGTTTTTCTAACTCATTTTATTAAAACATCTACCTTGATTCCACTGATGGAGCTATGTCTGGACTTTCTAGTTTGTGTCCTTGATCTTTTTTAAAAAAACTACTAAAATTCTGTATGCTTAAGGCCCCATCAAACCTGAGTCTGCCCCTGTTTGAATGTGATAAGTTTGAAAGTTAGGTTTCTAAAGGAATATTTGTATATAAAATAAGTGATAATATTATTATTTCATTTAAATATAAATCTGAAGAATTTTAAAAGTATGACAATAATCATGAAATATCAGGTAAGAAGAGAATTTGGTGATTATTAAATTCAATTGTTTGGAGAAAAAGATGGTTGCATTGAGGTAGAGTGCAAAACAAGGCTGGAAAGGGACTTTGGTGTAAAATTAATAGGCCATTGGATAGAAGAGATCTCTGGATAACTCCAGAAAAAAAGTGCAAATGGATTCAAGGAAAACAAATCTGAGTAATCAGGTAAGAATCATATCCAGAGAGAGATAAGGAAACATAACTTTGCAGCGAATCAAGATAAGACCAGAAATAAAAAATGTGCAGAAAGGAGGAGGAAAAATCCATATTCATTGAGTACCTTGATATTCGTTTAATCACTTAATACTCGTTTTATGGCTGACCATTCTAAGGCTTTTTCAAATGGTTAGGTAACCCCCCAGATTATTTTCTTTACTGTGTGGCAGAAATAAAATTCAAACTCATGCCTGTTTGGCTCCAAGAACGATGTTCTTTTCCCTATGTACTAACTAAATAGAATAAAAGCAGAGGTGGGTTAAAGAATGGGAAGATGATATATGGAATGGGTTTTGGTAGGATTAGAAGGCAAAGAGCATTAAGTAGACATAATTGGATAAAGCAGAAAATAGATATTTTTAGAAATAAAAAGAAGCATTAGCTAGTTTGAGGACAAAGTTGCTTAGTGCTATAAATACTACAAAATACAGGACCTAAACTATGATTTTGTAGTTTAAATATATTGCAAGGTTTCTAGCAATAAAATGATATCATGACATCAACATTTAAGAACTGGTAGTCTTACTGGAATAGAGAGAACCAGAACAAGGTGAAATCAGAGAAACAGAAAGTGTTAAAAAAAAAAAAAAAATAGAAACGCAAACCATAGACTCTTTGCTTAAGGAAAATGCACACATAGGCTGAGAAGTGGCTTGTACCTGTAATCCCAGCACTTTGAAAGACTGAGTCAGGAAGATCACTTGAGGCCACAAGTTCAAGACCAGCCTGGGCAATATCGTGAGATCTTATTTCTACTAAATTATAAAAATATAAAACACACACACACACACACACACACACACACACACAGATACAGACACACAGAATTAATGGAACTCTACTCCCTGATGATCTTCTGTCTCTAGGAAATAATTCTACATTCATATGAAAACATATTTTACAGAAGTTTAGATGGCATCTGAGAACCAGTAAAGACTGAAATGCTATATGTCAACATATGAACAAGCTTATAAGAAAACTGTCCAAGTGTTAGTGTTCATTTATTTACTTCTCTTTAATCATGATATTGAAAAGAAACAAAAAAGACGGGTGCGGGAACCATAAAATAGGCTGCTTTTGAAACTAAGGTTTGGAGGTGGAGTTTGTTTTTATTTCACTAGTTATTTTTTTCTCCATGTTACATCTAAAAATATGTTTATACCAACCCCAAATTCATATATATCTTAATTTCAATTTGAGTCTCACTAATCAGGGGATTTAGCAAAAAAGAATAAAAATATCCAACTTGCAATACCTGTTGTAATTAACACATACATCTTTGAAATCTAGCAGGAGGCATGTGGTGTATCCACTGTTTGCTGGGCTGTATTTTGGAATGCTTCCTATTGTTATGTTAGGGAGTTTCCTAGCATTTGGTCCCCGGTTATCACTTGCCAAAGCAACACTGCTGAAAGCCTAAGGAAATTTAGAGGGACGCAGAGGTAGGCAAGTAGTAAATACTTTTAAAAACCATGAAACGTCATGCATAGAACAGTATATTTAATGTATATGTACAACTTGAAAAAAAGTGCTTTAGACAAGAGAATAGAGTTCAGATTCTCGGTCTTTTTTTTTTTTTTTTTTTTTTTTTTTTTTTTTTTTTAACAGAGTCTTGAGTCTCTCTATGTTGCCCAGGCTGGCCTCAAACTCCTGGGTTCAAGCACCTCAGCCTCCCTGGCCACTGGGACTACAGGCATGCACTACCACACTCAACTTAGAGTTTAGTCTTTTAACTCACTGTTTCCATGTGTATGGTGAGAGAGGAGAAAAAAACTGTCATTATGATGTTAAATTACAGAATTAGAATCACTAAATTTAGCCAATCTACAGAAAAAAAAAATCATTGTTAAATGCTGTCAATAGATCATTAATTAATTAATATGCTTTATATATAATAAAATTTTATTTAAATCATCTGGAGAATCATTTGCAATGAGTAATTACATATATTGGTTTTCTCATTTTAGATTTTAGTAAGTCATCACATTTAGATATAAAAAAAGGTTCATTTTCTACTTCAAAAATCATGAAATAGGCTTATAATAATCAGCTTCCCTGCCAATCACTCCCTTATTCTGTAACAAGAAAACTTATTATTTTTTGAGAGATTATACGCATATTTGCTTTCAGTTTCAATCATCACTCGTTTTGCATTTGTGGTTTTGAGTGACAAGTAGCATTGTTTAGTTCATAATGGCAGGTAAATTGTAACAAAGTATTTCTATATTGACTAAATTCTTTTGGAAATTAGAAACACAAAATGTTAGAGTTAGGAGTAGCATCATAGATCATCAGCACCTGCCTTCATTTTAAATATTAAAACCTGAGATTCAGGGAGGCCAAGGAATGTGATGCCATTAAATGACAGTGAGCAGCTGAGCTGCTATTAGAATAAAGCTCTCATGACTGTCTCACCTACCTTCCCCATCCAGCCTCCTACTTGATCTACTTTATTTTTTTAAAGATGCTCTCTGAACTCAGAATTCATATCACTGATTTTAGCAGCACTTGATGTATATATTTTTATGCTATCTGAAATAATATTATTGCAAATTAATTTATAACCCAATTTCAAGATAGATATTCCCATTCGAGGATCAAATCCATTCACTTACAAAGTGAATACTGTTGTCCAATTAACCTGCTGAAAAAAAATGATTCAGTTTAAACTTGTATCCTCAAAACATCTTCAAGCAATTAAGAGGCAACAGAATTAAATCCCAGCAAAAGTGAATGGATATCTCTGCTGAGAGTGGGCACCGGCATTGACATTTTCTAACATTCATAGGTATTCAGAACAAGCTATCATGTTCCTTGAATACCAATGAATACAGAAAGAAGATCAATACACTGTCTATACATATTAATATAGTGGCAGAAAAAGGCAATTAGAAGCCTCTGATCCTTTTGAAGGACTGGAGTTAAGGTAAACAAATGGTTGCATTATAGATTTAGTAGAACCTCTGCCACTGTCCTATTACCATTTTCTTTTATTTCTTTGATGATGGCGAAGGTCATGATCAATATAGCAGTTGAGTTATGAGGTTATGTTAACATCAATTTATATCATGAAACTCCACCAGAGTTAAACATATAATCAAGGATTGGTTCAAATTATTAGTTTTCCTTTCTTTGGTTGTTTTACTGTTTGTTAGTTCTTCATCAGTAGAGCAAAAACAGAAGCAAAACAACAGTTTTCTATTTTGCTCATCAGGTAAAGGTTTTGGTCTACGAAGGGATGGAGAACCACAACCTACATGAGAAGGTATGGTTGTTTCTATGAACTTTATTAGCAATAATCCCAGGCAGAATTTATTCCTAGACATCTTTAACATCTAAACATCTGTTTGGGTAGATGTGGGGGCATTTGGCTGCCCATTTTGGGGGAGCTGGTTCTTATATGTTGTTCAAAATTAAGGGTATATGACTTTGCATTTGCAGTAATAAGACATAAAGGTGAAAAACAATAGTAAATCCACACTTTTAAAAGCTTTTCTAAGAAACACTCAATCAGACAGAACTGTATCATTCAATTAATATATGTAAATAACTTTCAGTAAAGGACAATGTGGGGACCTCAAACATGTAACACTGAGGAATAGTTCATCAACTATAAAGTATTATGTATATTGAAGGTAGTATAAAACTAAAATTAGCAAGTATGACAACCCTTTGCCAAAAAAAGCTAGTTTACACATGTGGTAGAGAATTAATCTTATTATAAGAAGGGAGATTATACCGTAAACCACATAACATGTCCATAAGATGACAATGCTGTAGTTTTAACACATAAAAAAAGTCTGGAGATGTTAAGTGCCATATTGGTGATAATAAAATTTCTTATTTTTGGTACTTATTTGTATGCCAAGTTTATTTCATCTTCATACCAATTTTCTACAAGGCTATCAATTTAATGTCCACATTTTACATATGAGAAAACCATGGGTTAAGGACTTTCTAAAACCTATGGAAACTAAGAAGTGGTAAAGTCAAGATTCAAATTGACAGTTGTTGGTGGTGTTGCTTTTAATGAAGAATGTCAACACTTTGAAGCACAAAATATAATATTGATAATTAATTCCTTAGAGACTTTTCAATAGAGTAATCGGGAAAGGCATTACACAAGAGGTGGTGCTTAAGGAAAGTCTTGGAGGAGGATAACATCTGGAAAGATAAAATCTGGAAAGACAGCAAGAAGAGGGAAAGGCCATCCCAGACATGCAGAACATAAAAAAATATGAAAGTTGGAAAGCATACGTTATCTTGGGGAAAGCAGTCCTTTGCCAGACTTGAATGAGGAATGTACCCACAAAAAGGATATACTGAGAGCCCTCAAGGATATTTTGAGGTCAGGTGAGGTAGCTGGCCAACCAGACATTTACATTTCTACATAAAGCCAATTTAGAAATTTTTTCACATCTACATTAACACAGAAGAATCAGATAAAAACAGAATAATCAATAAAATAAAATACAATGATATAACTGAAATTTAACCCAGTCTCATCAAAAGA
Source organism: Homo sapiens (assembly GCF_000001405.40). NCBI lineage: Eukaryota > Metazoa > Chordata > Mammalia > Primates > Hominidae > Homo > Homo sapiens. The sequence goes on along the minus strand of NC_000010.11, from coordinate 51,844,930 downwards.
ATTTGGAGTCCTCAAAAAGCACTGTCAGATATTTTACTGTGGACCAATAATCCACTGGCAAGGCAACTTTCTCAGCATACTTCATTTTTGTCGGACTGTGTGAATTCCTGTTCTTGTCTTTGATACAACATCACCTCCCTCTGTCTCCCAGTGTAGTCTTGATCTTGAATTTAACTTTTTGGCTATTTATTGACCTGCCCAGTTTTAAGCCCCTGACATTCCTTCAGAATTTTTATCAAAGTTTGATGCTCTTTCATTATTGCTGTTAGTAAACCACATCTATTCTTGCTGCCAGAAGCTAATAAAAGTAGATTGATTTCAGTGTCAAATCATTTTTTATACAAACTTAAGGTTTAAACACCCATTTTGTCCTAGAGGCAATAACCAATGTGATTTAAAATTAATTAACCTAATTACCACTATAAGTATAATCTATTAAAGTTAGTAATAGGCAAATAAGGTCTGTGAGACACTTTTAAAACCACAAATTTTATCATTAGGTCAAAATTATAATAATAGCAACTGTTCTATGAATTATATTTTCATTCTCCTCTTAATCTTTCAACCCTCTTACTAGTATAATTTTTATTCTTAATTTCCATATTTTTTCACTTGTAAGATGAACACGTTATTCACATTTTGACATTTCTGTAATTAGAAGTTACCTTAAAGTCATCAAGTACGTTTAATAGTCTCTTATTCACTCCTCAGAAACCTATCATTAGAATTATGGCTCATGATTGCCATCAGCATTGACAGAAAATCTTGAAAATATGTCATTCTTTTCATTCTTCTTCCCCTCTGTCAAATGATGCATTGACAAAAATAAAAATAAAAAACACTAGACAACAAGAAAAACTCATTTCTGAGAATAATAAGGAAAAAACTCACTTAGATCTATTTGCTTGCCACAAGCAAATTCTATGAATATAGTACTATGTATACTCCTGATAATAATTGAACATGAAGACATCATTTTCTTCCCTGAATTCTTTATTCATGCCTTCTTTTCTTGACTCAGTCACTTCTCTCAAATGGAAAAAGAAGCTCGTTTTAAGTGGAACAATAAAAAAGGCAGAAACTAAAATGTGTGTGTGGGGGTATGGGACTTCCATGGACCTATTTAGCAAATACACTATAATTTTGTTTCAAATTTAATATTTCTCTGTAAAAGGAAATAATTCAGTATACATAAAAATCCAAGTAGGATCACAAGTTAAGAGATGATGGTGGCATGAAGAATTAGAGTTGGAATTCCCTGTTGAAAGCCAGGCAATACCATGCTCTTCTATGCCTGTGCAGCAGTGAGCATAGCTGTTACTTCAGTGTGGCAGAGAAACAGGTGACATTAAAGCTGAACGCTAAACGAAGAACGTGGTTGCTGTTCTTTAAGACTTGACCTGCCTTTTTCCTCCAAAAATTTATTTCAATCAGTCACAAGACTGGCTTGAGGACATAATGTTGAAAACAAGCCTTCTATATTAAGCTGCCTACATAGGCTATTAAACTAGATTCTAAATGGTCACTAAGGCAACAAAATTGCTACTGCCTGACTTGGTATACCCCAACGCAAATGAGGTGACCATCTTGACACACTTGTGTTGATCACATGAACTTTCTTTGTTTTCTCTGAGAAAGAAAAGCACATCAAATAAATGTTTCTAATATATAAAACAAATTATTCTTATAACACTAATATTCCACTTTACATTAAAAATGAATAATTTTCTCACTTGAACCCAGGAGGTGGAGGTTGCAGTGAGCCAAGATTGCGTCACTGCACTCCACCCTGGTGAAACAGAAGACTCCGTCTCAAAAAAAAAAAAAAAAAAAAAAAGAATAATTTTCCTAAATTTAAATAAAAATAAATTTAGTGAAAAATTTACATCTATAGGTTATTTAGTGATGATCTGTACTATATTCATAATGACCATCTGACCTCAAAATGTGCCAAAGCTTTAAACAAAGTTCTGTTCATATTCTATTTTTTTATGAAAATAGAAAATTGTTTCACATTTCTTAGAGTAAGCATTAAATATAACACTAGGTAAGAAATATTTTTAATTGCAGGCAAAATTTCTTACAAATATATAATTTCTTATAATTGACAGGCATAATTTCTTTTATAATATTGCATAATATATACTATATGACATACACTAGTTAGATAAATAGATACAGATTGAGAAAAGCAAATGAACACTTTAAAGGGCTTCATATATATGAATATACATATACACATATAGTATGCACATACATACACACATAATTTTGTTATCTAACATAAAATTCTAGTGGCAATATCAAAATGAGTGCTAAATTCCACTCACATGAAAAGCATGGTCCTTTGTTTCTTATAGCATAGAGAAGTAACAGGTAACACATTGTCACTAAACATGTTTGCTGATACTGACCAAGACCACAGGAACCACACATAAGGATCAGAAGGAAAAAAGTAGCTGAAAGCCTGAATAGGAGGGTCTTCTTTGCCACCATTCAGTCATCGTGTAGTGTAACAAATGGTCTGCTTCCATTAGTTTAAGCTACATGCAAGTTGGATGATATCTCAGAGAATGTGTCCTCATAACACTCAGTCATCAGCTGAGAGTATTACCTTCATACAATTAGTATCATACTGTTTTACCTTAGCAATCCCAGATTGACAGTTTTCACTTATTTGTAACTGGTGATCCCAGAATAATGATATGCAATGCTGACTGTAGTGCCTACCCCAAAGCACTCCTATGAGGATCAAATAAAATACCACATTCAAAGCCCATAGGACAAGTATGAATCAGACAGTCAAGTCAGACCCACTTAGCCAGCGAGGGAATCCAACTGACCAACATCCCATCTGTGTTAGCTGAGAATCTGGACAGTTTCAAAGCCTCTAGAAGTATCTGCCTTGAAATCCAAGACTCTATACTTCATTGCAAAATATGAAAGCCAGCCAGACACGATGGCCCATGCCTATAATTCCAACACTTTGGGAGGCTGAGGCGGGCAGATCACTTGAGGTCAGGAGTTAGAGATCAGCCTGGCCAGCGTGGTAAAACCCCATCTTGACTAAAAATACAAAAATTAGCCAGGCCTGGAGGTGCACATCTATAATCCCAGCTACTCAGGAGGCCGAGGCAGGAGAATCGCTTGAACCTGGGAGGCAGAGGTGGCAGGGAGCTGAAATCGCGCCACTGCACTCCAGTCTGGGTGACAGAGCGAGACTCTGTATCAAAAATGAAAAAAAACACATAAAAACCATATTTTGGTCTTTTTTTTTTAACAAATTCAGTCACAGCATGAATTCATGACATTTCTGAATAAATTAGAAAATTCAACTGCACAAGAAAACAGAATTTCTAAAAATCTCTCTTTAAAAATCTTATGCATTTTTAATATTTCTAGTTCATTGTTCATTCCTCAAGACTGACCTGAAATTTCACCTCCTCCTGAAAGCCTACCCATATTCCACAAGTCCAGGCTATGTGCTTTCTTAATATGTTCTTGTATCACTTCATGCTTAGTCCTAACAAGGCATTTATCACACTGTACTATAATTTTTCGTTTCTCCTTTTTTGTTGCTCCCATTTGACTATGAACTGTTTGAAAAAATAGACCATGTCTTCTTCATCCATGAAGTCCTGAAACCTGGTTCAGTGCCCAGCACAGAGTCCATGTTCAATAAATGATGAATGAATAAACTAAATCACACAGGAATCACTCTTAAGTGAGAGAGAGATTGAGACAGAGAGAGAGAGATTGACTTACTGGAGATAAAGTTACAAAGAGGCCAGGAGGCATTTTAAAAATGTAATGAGCTTATTTTAGAAGAGATAAGTTTTCTATCACTGGAAGAATTTAAGTAGGTACAAAATGGCTATATGACAAGAAAACGAAATCATTCATCTATTGGTGATCTGATTCAGATGCCTCCAACTCTGAAATCCTGGGATTCATAACCTGTATTCCATAAAAATAAAACCCTATATTTTAATTATTCTGCTTATTGACTGAAATTTAGTGTTTGTTTTTTATAAGTGTTATAGACTCTTCATTGTATTTGTTTCTCTTTAAAATAGAGGGTTCAGGGACGGGTGTTGTGGGTCATACCTGTAATCCCAGCACTTTGGGAGGCCAAGGCGGGCAGGTCACCTGAGGGCTGGAGTCCGAGACCAGCCTGGCCAACATGGCAAAACCCCGTCTCTGCTAAGAATAAAAAATTAGCCAGGCATGGCGGTGCACACCTGTAATCCCAACTACTTGGGAGACTGAGGCAGAAGAATTGCTTGAACCTAGGAGGCAGAGGTTCCAGTGAGCTGAGGTCGCGCCACTGCACTCCAGCCTAGGTGACAAAAGGGAGACTTTGTCTCAATAAATAAATAAATAAATAAATAAATAAATAAATAAATAAATAAAATAGAGGGTTCAATAAAGACATAGGTGGCATTACAAAACAAAAGTTGTATTCTGAGTCTCCTGAGAACCTGCATGATCCATATCAGTTGTTAAGCCTATTCGTGACTGTAAAAAGTATCAGAATAAAAAGGATTCTTGGACATATTTAAATTGTAAAGGCATTACCTCTAAGAACACAACAAATCTTTTAAAAAATGAAATGTTAGCTAAGCAAGAAAACCCTTAGTTGAAAAGAGAAAAAAAAAATCAAATAGCTTCAAAAATCCTTAACATCATCCACAGATGCCTTATTATGAATACCACCTGTGGTCTCTGTTGCAGTGTGCAGGCTTCTCATTTATGTACACCACTGTTCTGGGTAACAAGCTGTTTCCCAACAGACATATCAATTCATCATTTTAGAAAAGTCTCAAAGTGCTCCACAGATGGACATTAGGGAGAAAGGCAACGGTCTGCCACCTGCATTTGGCAAATAATTTGCTCCTGAACTGCTGATCTAAATTAAAACTAGATTTGAAATGCCTGGGAGGAAAACAGGGCTGTCACTTACTGAACTCCATTAGTTAAAATGGCATCCTCAAGAATTAAAAACTAAACTTAGATATTGCATGCTCTAGGAAAAATAGGAGAAAACTGCTGTTGGTAGAAATGAATTGTATTCAAATGGGTAACTAATACTGGGGAGCAATTCCTCACCTACCTTGGGGCAGCCCTCATGGGACTGGGTCAGTGAGAAGTTATAGTAGATGGTTCCTGTTACTTCACCTAAAGAACGACCTCCATAGGAAGGCATGCTTCTGCCATAAGGTAAAGAATAATTCTTCCCTGTAGAATATTGGTTAGTAAACCACTACGATTATCGAGAACCCTGCATATCCAAAACAAAGTCAGGTTCCTGCTTATCATGGCTATCTGGCTGGTTTTCAATATAATTCCTGTCAGTTTCACACACTTCCCAAAAGATAAGTGGTCTTTCAAAAATATTACCCATATGCAAAATCAGTGAGTCATAATTTTCTATTGAGCATAACATTTCCTTTTCAGCCACTTTCTTATTCTAAATACAAGCTTTGAAATTGTCCCCTGTGCAAATCACTGAATTAAATGTTTCCAACTCAACATGGTAGAGGTGGGGTGGGCATGGGGGAAGTAGAAGACATATTTATTTGTTGGCTTCTACGCTAAATGTTCCCACTGTCACTTTGAATATGAAACTCTGAAAAGTACAGCAACAGGAAACTGAGTGCAGAAATGAGCTGGGAGGTCAGTAACAAATATGCACTTAATAAAATAACCATGCACATTTCATCTTTATTTCAAAATCATTTTAATTCTGAAAACCTCTGCTCAACCAACTGTTAAAAAAATAATAATAAAGTAGCTCTTCCTTATGGTAATGGTCTAAGGGGGCAGTCCTGAAATGTCAGTTTCTACATTTCTGACACATTTCTGCTGCAGAGCCTATTTACACTCTGGCAGGCTGTATCAATGTGACCAGAATGCTCTTATTACAGTCAGTTTCTTGAATCTGCCTTCAAAATATTAAACTTAAAATGTATGTGCCATTATACAGCCATTATACAGCTAAATTTATGGGCCATTATACAGTAATAAGTCCCAGTTTTGGCTGGAAAAATTGGTCTATCTCAGCACTTAACAAATTTATTTGCCTCAGAACGAACTTGGTTGTTTTTATTTCCCATCACTTCCCATTAGGCTAACAATAGCCCTAGGGGTAGCGTGATTTTTTTTTTCTCATTAGCCTAGAAAATTCCTAGACCTACTAGCTTTCAAACTTAAGCTTTCCAAGAATTTAGGCAGAAAAAAAGGATTCCCAAAACAATCTCTGCTTTCATTACTAAAGACAAAAAGAACAAAGAAGATAAGGAAGACATTTCAGCCCCAGGGAGTTAGTCTGCTAATTTACACCTGCAGGACACTTTCCAAGTAAAACTATTTCTATCTTTGACTTAAAAAAGGAAGCTCCCTTTAAAAATAAGTACAGGAGATTTGATTGAGTCCCAGAGGACACTTCCTTTCGGAAACTCTGCTAAAACTGCCCAGAGGTTTTATAGGGCTTCATTATTCATGTTTAGATTTTCTGCCCTTTTCTCTATGGCTTTTAAATGTTGTTTTCGCTTATTAGCACAAATGTGAAAGAACATATATAACTGGATCTATTTAGCTACATTGAGTGGCTCTAGATAAAACAAAACAAAAACAAAACAACCACAAATAACTCTTGGATTGAAAACCAGAGAAAATCTTTAGATCACTATACATGAGCACATATATTATTAAAACTTAGCTATACACCCTTGAATGTTATATTTTAAATATTTTCCTAAAAATGCCTAATTATTAGCTGTATGTAAATCACTTTTAAATCTGTTTTTTATTGATAAGTGTTTTAAACTATTACTATTTTTTAATGAATTGTATTGATATGGATCACAAAGAGAGTTGCAAGTTAAGTAAATTGGCTTTAGACTTTCCCAGATAAGAGTCAGGACTAAAGTGTCAAAAGTCTCACTGATGCAGTGAGACTCATCCTTGACGAACAATGGATGCAGCAACTTTCTCTCTACTATGATAGCCCAATATTTAAAAGTTTGCAGAAAAGCAAAAAGTTGGGTGAATTAGAAGAGAAAATATATCACTAGGCAAATCAAATAAACCTTAGTATCCTAAACCATCTAATCAGTATTTGCTCTGAGTATACTAGGGCCCAAGCATTGGGTTATGGAGACAAAAGATACAGTCTTTGCCTTCAAACTATTTACATCCTAGTGGGAAAAGCAGAAAGCAAACATCCGGACAGTGTGGTAAATGCTACTGGAGAGACAAATGCATGTAGGTTATGAGATCATGAAGGAGAGCCCCCTACCCTAGCCACGAAGGATTTCCAGAGTAGATGAAGAATCAATGGGCCTTACCCCAATGGAGAGGGAATAAAGTTCTAGTAGGCAACAGGAAGAGCAGGGCAAAGCCACACAGGAGAGGAAAAATCTGTATGCATTTGAGGAAATAAGGTTTATGGCAGGAATTTAAAAAAATGTGTGGTAGCAAACAGCAAGAGATGAAACCAGAAAGGTAAACAGTTTCAGAACATAAAGTATCTGAAACTAGTAAAATTCTGCTCATATTCCAAACTGTATTTCTCAATGCCCAATAAAGTATGCTATTTAATTTTTTTAAGTGCCATATTCAAAAGACTTGAGAACTTTACTCTAAATGTTTTATTTAGAAAAAACTTTATAAAACTTACTAACTACCATATCAAAGCAAGTTCTACCCTCGGAGCAAATAATTTCTGTAGGCTGTGCTTTGACAATCTCTATATTTGAATTGAACTGTTCAATCACGTTAACTGAAAAATCAACTTACTTCTTCCTTTTCAATGCAGTTAGGCCCCAAGCCTCAATAGCAGAAGAGTGAGAAGAATTGCATTTTCTCAATACTTTTCCAGTAGCTTAACATCTAGCCTTTAAATTCAAAAATCCATGTCATTTCCCAAGTATACTCAATGAATGCAGGGACCACGAATCAAATACCTGTAATTGTGCATTCATTCCAACTAGTGACACTATCTCTATCTCACAAGCAAAACAATGCTAAAGCAATTTTTTTAAAATGCTCCGTGCACCCTTTCAACACAACCCTCTGGGTCATTGTTCAGTAGCATAAGCAGCAGTATGATATATTAAAAGGGTCATGAGATTTGAGTTAAAGACTTATGTTTTTCTTCTTTTGATAAATATCTATTCACATCTTCTGTTTATTTTTAATAGGATTATTTGAGGGTTTTTTGGTTAGTGGATATTTTGAGTTCCTTGTATATTTTGGATAGTGTATGTATATTTTGGATAGTGTATACCCCTTATCCACATACAAAAGAATGAAAATAGACCTTTGTCTCACTCCTTATGCAAAAATACACTCAATATAAACAATAGACTTAAACGTAAAACCTTAAACTGGAATACTATTTGAAGAAAACATATGGGAAATGCTCCATGACATTGCTTTGGGTAGAGATTTCTTGGATATGACCCCAAAACACGGGCAACAAATGCAAATATAGACAAATGGGATTGCAACAAACTAAAAAGCCTTCTGCCAGCCAAGAAAACAATAAAGTGAAGAGAAAATCCATGGATTTGGAGAAAATACTTGCAAATCATACACTGGATATCTATTAATGGTTTTCCCAATACCATTTATTAAAGAGACTGCCCTTTCCCTATTGTGTGTTCTTGGCACATTTGTCAAAAATCAACTGACCATAGATGTGTGGATCTATTTCTGGGTTTTCTATCCTATTCCATTGGTTGATGTGTCTGCTTTGATGCCAGTGCCATGCTATTTTGATTACTGTAGCTTTGTAATATATTTTGAAATATTGTAGTGTGAGGCTTCCAGATTAATTCTTTTTGATAAGGATTGTTTTTGCTATTCAGGAGAGTATTTATAGACATTCCTTAAAAGAAAATATACAAGTGGCAACAGTTACATAAAAAAAATGCTCAACATCTCTAATCACAGAGAAATGAAAATTAAAACCGCAATGAGATGTCACCTCACATCTGTTAAATTTGTTATTATTAAAAACATGAAACATAACAAGTATCAGTGAGGATGTGAAGAAAACCCTTGTATACTGTTGGCAGGAATGTGAATTACTATATCCATCATAGAAAACAGTATGGAGGTTCCTCAAAAAATTTGAAATAGAACTACCATATGATCCAGCAATCCCACTAATGGGTATATATCCAAAGGAATTGAAATTCATATGACAAATAGATGTATGTCTGCACTCCCATGTTCATTGCAGCATTATTCGCAATAACCAAGATATGGAAACAAGTGTCTGTCAACAGAAGAAAGGATTTTAAAATGTGATATAATTGATAACCAATGAAAAAAAGTTATAATTTATGTTCATGGGGAAATGATATTTTCATTCTGGATTACTTTATTCAACCATTCAGCAAACATTTGTTGTGTGCGTACTAAGTGCCAGAGAGAGTATTGGGCTCTGCAAATACAACTGTTAATAGCAAACTGGACCTAGTCCTACTGCACAGAACCAGTCAGTTCACAACATGCAAAGCCCACATTTAAATGGCCAGCATCTGTCCCTTCAGAGATGTGCTCTTTAGAAATGCCAGTCCTCTATATTCAAGAAATGCATAGGACACAAACTTTCTGCAAGTCACTGTCTTGGTGAAATGGAAGGAGGGGAGAATCTTCTTCAAAACAGCACTTCCTTCCCATCCAGCTTGTCAAGTACCACCTGCCAGATCACTTGCCAGAGACTTCGGAAGCTATTGTCCCCTCTCTGGGGACAGAAGCTTCTGTCTCTGTAAGCCAAAGCCCCATAATCTTCTCTCCAGCCCCAGAGCTGAAAACACCAAGTGCCTATCTGAGGGTGTTAATCTGGACACTTGGAGTTTCTCATGTGTGTGCGTTTGGTTAATGTGGGCTTATGGGCTTTCTTTCATCTTTTTTTAGTCTACATTGAGGGGAAGTGAATGCCTCCTATGTACAGACAATATGTCTTTATACATTTTTCTAAGACTTTCCCAATTGATAAATCAATTAATTTCTGATGTTTCTGGAGGCCCCAAGACTCAGTGACCCTTTTCCATCTCACTTGCCCCATGCAATGTGATGACCTTGGGTGTGGACGTACCCCCATAGACTCATTGCTCTTTCATACCCTCACTTTCTTTTCTTTTCTTTTTTCTTTTCTTTTCCTTTCTTTTCTTTTTTCTTTTCTTTTCTCTTTTCTTTCTCTTTCTCTTTCTCTCTCTCTCTTTCTTTCTTTCTTTCTGTCTTTCTTTCTTTCCTTCTTTCTTTCTTTTTGACAGGGTGTCACTGTGTCACCCAGGCTAGAGTGTAGTATCACAGTGTCACACTCATGAATCACTGCAGCCTCAATCTCTGGGGCTCAAACAATCCTCCCACCTCAGCCTTCCAAGTAGCTGGGACTACAGGCATGCACCACCACATCCAGCTAATTTTTGTATATATTGTAGAGATGGGGTTTCTCCGTGTTGCCCAGGCTGGTCTCAAACTCCTAGGCTCAAGAGATCCTCTTGCCTCGGCCTCCCAAAGTTGTTGGGATTACAGGTGTGAGCCATGGCACCTGCCCCCCTCCCTTACTTTCAATAAATTTAGGCCTAGAACACAGTTCTGTTTTGCAAAACTCATCTAAGTTCTTGTTTCAGTATTTATTTTTAAAATATTTTATGTTAGAGGGCAGGAGGTATCATAAAGATGATAAGAGGCAGGGCACAGTTTCAGCTCTTTGGAAAAGAGGCCATTATGGAGATTGAAACACATTTGGGGAAGCGTCTGACTAAAGTACAAGAAAATAAGTAATCCAAGGGGGAAAACTGTGGTCTGTATACACAATGGAATACTATTTAGCCCTATACACAATGGAATACTATTTAGCCCTAAAAAGAAAACAGGAAATTCTGTCATTTGTGATGACCTGAATGAACCTAGAGGACATTATATTAAGTGAAACAGGCTAGGCATGGAAAGACAAAGACCATATGATCTCACTTATATGTAAAATCTAAAACACCCAATTTCATAAAAGCATAGAGTAGAATGGTGTTTACCAGAGGCTGGAGTGGAGGAAAAGAAGGTAGACAGAGAAAGGGCAGACATTGGTCAACAAGTAAAAGTTTCAGTTAGATAGGAGGAATCAGTTCTGGCTTCTGTGGCAAAGCAAGGTGATTGTAATTAATAATAATGTATTATATGTTACAGAATACCTAAAAGAGTTAATTTTTAATGTTCTCACCACAAATAAATGATAAATATTTGAGGTGATGGATAGGCTAATTGTCCTGATTTGGTCATTCCACAATGTATACATGTATCAAAATATCACATTGTGCCACATAAACATATACAATTATTATTTGTCAATTAAAAATAAAAATAAATAAAGATTCACGTTTCCATGCAGCTCTACTACCTATAAATGTGTCACCTTGGAAATGATTTAATTTTGCTGAGCCTCAGTTGCATCATTTATAAATTTGGAATAATACATACCTATCAGCATTGTTGTGAAAAATTAGAAGTTTACAACTAGCTATGCAATAAGCTTGGCAAGCACTGAGAGTTCAACAGAGAGGAGTGATGATTACTATATGCTCAATGACTATCCCTACTGAGGTTCTTCAAACGCCTAGCTACTGAGAACCAATGAAATTTTACGTCACTCAGCAACCTCACTCGTCCTGCTCAATTCACAGGACACCTTTATACAAGGCCCTTTCTTGTCAACTCCAGTTGCAGTCTGTCATTTCTTGCTTTTGAGTGCATGACTCAGCAAGTCAGGTCCCTCCTGTGTGGGCAGATTTGTTGCCATTCATGACTAATACACCGCATTCAATGAGCCTTTTCTTTAAGGAGACAATCACAACATCATTTAAGTAGAAAAGGGCCTAGAAACACTGCTTAAAACCTCCCTAGATTTCTATTTTCAATTGTGAACCCCCTCCCTGTAATCGACATTAACCAGGCAAGATTTATTCATATCACAGGAGAAGGGACTAAAAGTTTCCATAACTAGAGCATTAAACCCAGATAGACTTTTCACCTATTCCTCTGAGGGCCGTACCAGAGAGACTTTATCTGTGCGATAAGACAATATTTGATCATCATGCATTTCCTCCCCTCACCATTCCATAGCTTGTGTTGCCACCTCCTTCAGAGAAGCCCCAATCTTCTATTTCTTTCTGTAATGCAAATTGCTGTCTAAGATTCAATCATGGGACCCTTCTTTAAGCTATATTTTGTGATGTTCTCAAGCACATGCACATAAAAAATGTACATGCTTTTTCTCCTGTTAATTCACTTACTGTCAGTTTATTCTAGAGACTAAAATTATCAGAAACTAAAATTATCATACCTACAGAGGGTGGAAAAAAATTTCCCCTCACCCTTAGAGTAGATTTTTAAATGCTTGAAAAAATAAGAAAAAGACATTTATTTTATTTTTTGTGATGTAAATACCCAAATGATATTCTTGATTCAGCATCTTAGTCTACAAAGCCTAAAATATTTGCTGTCTTACTTTTTACAGATAATTTTTGCCAAACCTTGATTTAGATAATTAAGTAGACCAGGAATCTTATATACATGCTATATGCACCTGGCACATGAAGGTGCTTAATAAACATCAGTTTCCCTCCTTTGAGGGAATAACTGTTGCTTTGTGTAATAAGCATGAATTTAAAATGAGATCTTTTTAACTGCTTGACAGTTTCCATTATGCATAAGCTTTGTGATATTGGAAAATTTCTTAGCCTCTATAGAGCATTGGTTTACTTTCTTCAAGCTGAAATATCAGCACTACTTTTATGTAAGTTTTTTTAAAAAGAAAACAGTTGATTATTTTTAAACAACTGAAAAATGCCTGATATTTTCACCTGTCTTACAGAAATTAACTCTTTCCAGTTTTCTTAAACCTCTTTGTACACTTATTATATCAAATTTAGAAAATACAAGTATATGTAATATATACATATACGGAAAAATAAGTCATCCATAATCCCACCAACTAGAGAGAATTCCTACCAAAAAATTGATAGTTTCTTTCATTTATTCTCCTATTCTTCCTTTCTTTCTAAGACTCCTACTTCTTGCCCACCTACCTTTGCAACAAGGTGACTAAATTCTGGACAATTCAATGTATATGGAAGAAGCATGGAGTTCTCAGAAAGCCTCTTTTAAGGGCCGAGGATGGGCCCTCATTCAATTCCCTTCCTCCATCCTACTGGCCAGAATGCAGAGATAAGAGATAAGCTGGATTAGCCATCTTGGGCCATGAAAATGAGGTACCCTAGGAATATAGTGAACTCAAAGGATGGAATAGTAGTGAACTATGAGTAACTTGGGTCTTGGAAAAATTTACGGAGCAGCCATAAAAGGTCTGGGTTGTCTTTCTACCCACAGGCTACTTTTATTCTTTCTTGCTTTTGTTTTGTTCTGTTTTATTGTTTTCCTCTTACATGAAGAAATTCCCACCTTGTCTCATTTACATTTTCTTGGCTGGTAGAGGGAGAAAAGTTTAAAATAGACCAGAATGTTACCAGTGATTTTTTTTTTCTGGGGTTAGCATTGAAGTGGTTTTTAATTTTATTTTAGCCTTCATGCTTTCCTGTAGTTTCTACATTTTCTACCATGAACATATAATGATTCTGCTATCAGAAAAAAATAAATACATAAATAAGTGACACATTGTTTGAAATACCTTGGGCTAAGGGTTAAATTGTAAAAGTACTCTGGATTTCAGTAGAATAAATATATAAATAAAAATAAGGCCTTGTGTCTCTTAAATATACCTAAGAACAGGGAATTGCCACATATCAAAGTTGTCACTAAGATCTATCAATGATGTTCATTTTGACAATGAATGTACTACTGGGAAAACATACATTAGTCTCATAAAAACCTCAGTCGATAATGGTTTTAGATGAGTAGAGGTTAACTAGTGGAACTGGTAAGGAAAAAGGCAAAAAAAAAAGAAAGGTAGCACAGATTTAGTATTTATTCCTGAGCGTATGATCTCACAGTTGAAAACATTAAATGTTATGATAAACAGCTTTTTATAAATCACTTTAGGCAGGGTGCGGTGGCTAACGCCTGTAATACCAGCACTTTGGGGGGCCCAGGAGGGTGGATTACTTGAGGTCAGCAGTTCGAGACCAGCCTGGCCAACATGAAGAAACCCTGTCTCTACTAAAAATACAAAAATTAGCCTGGTGTGGCGGCACACACCTGTAATCCCAGCTACTCAGGAGGCTGAGGTAGGAGAATTACTTGAGCCCTGGAGAAAGAGGTTGCAGTGAGCCGAGATTGTGCCACTGCTCTCCAGCCTGGCCGACAGAGTGAGACTGTGACTCAAAAAAAAAAAAAAAAAAACAAAAAAAAAAACACTTTAAGAGAAGTTCAATAAGTAATTATACTATAGAGATCACAATTATATTGCAATAGGACTAGAAAGAACAAATAAGCCAAACTGTCCTATTATTAGTGAATGTGTATGTATGACCTGGAACAAAATTTCCAAACAGAACACCATATATAATTAAAGAATCACAGTATCGCTAACAACTTGGAAAATTATGTACTCTGGATAACTGTTAGATGGCTCAAAAAGTAGCCCTGTTAAAATTAGCAGTAGATGCAAATCATACTGAAGACTCATTATTCAAGAGTGTGTGAAAATAGTGTTAAATATTGAGAGGGTAATGGCAGATTTAAGTAGAAGAGCTGTTATATGGTGGAAAGTTCCAAAACAAAAGCTAATAAAAATCCTGAAGAAAAGCATAAAGAGTATAAAACTAGATTAACTGAGTATAGAACATATCAAATCCACAGACACCCTACTCTCCCAGGAAATCTTTTCACCCTTTCCCGAAGTGGTCACCATGTAAATATAGGTATTAAGGAATATGATAGGTACCATAACTATAGAAATAGACCTGGAGAAAGCTGGTTTCATCAACATCATGAGTTTTGTTTTTGTTTTTGTTTTTACCATAACATTTTGAACAGCTCTTACCAATTTGAAAAGTTGGCATAGATCAGTGCAACCTGCTTCCCCTGGCCTTGTTGGAACAAGACAGTGGTAGGGTTCACCTAAGACACCAAATTACTTAATACTTTATTAAATATAAAAATTCCAAACAGACTAAAAAGTTGGAAGAGCAGGAAAATGAACATCCAAGTACCCACAACCTAGATTCAAAAATAGTTGTTGCTTTATCTATGTATGTGTGCATGCATACACATGTATGTGTGTGTGTGTTCACGTGTATTTAGAAAATAAGATGTCATAGTCCTTTAGACCTATACATTCAACCCTGTATCTTTTATGAATAAGTACATGCATTCTCTTACATGACCACAGCATCATTGACACAAACACTAACAATAATTTCCTAATATTACTTAGTATCAAATTCATATTCAAATTTTCCTTATTGCTGTTAAAATATATTTCATAGATTTTATCTTCTGCAACTAGAAAAGAGTTAGGCTTTATGTCTTCTGTGGTAGGTAGCCTCTAAGGTAGCCACCAGTAATCCCTGACTGATCCCAAGGTCTTCATGTCATTGTGTAAACCTGCCACCTTCCCACTTTGAGTGTGAGCTTGACTTATCAAATCACTTTTGAGGAATAAAATACAGAAGTGACAAAATGTCACTTTTAAAATGAAAGCATAAGAAGACATGGAATTCCATCTTGGTCATTCTCAGATCTGTCTTGCATCATTTATCCTTAGAGAAGCCAACTGCCATATTGTAATGCATCCCTGTGGAAATGTTCACACGGCCAGAAACAGACTTATCAACAGCCACATGAATGAGCTTGAAGCAGATTCTCACACCCTCCTTCTCCAGTTGAGGCTTCAGATGAGACTGCAACCTGGGCAATAGCTGATTGCAACTTCATGAGAGACCTTTAGTCAGAGGCATCCAGTTAAGCTACACTCAGATTTCTCACCCATGAAAACTGCGTGATGATAAATGTTTGTTGTTTTAAACCAGTACGTTTTGGTGTAATTTGTCATACTGCAATAGATAACTAATACAGATTTGATGTGGATATTATGTCTCTTTAGCTTCTTTTAAACTTGAACAGTTTCTTGAACATTTTTATTCTGCTTTGTCTTGAAACAAAATAAATGTTTTGAAGTAACCAAGCTAGTTTCCTTATTAAATGCCTGCCTTATCATCTGTCTATTTATCCAGTTGTTGCTAGCAGTAACTCTTTCCTATATTCTTGTGTTTTCTAGAAACTAAAAGTTATATCAAAGCCTTCATTAGAACAAAATTTAACATTGTTGGCAAGAACACATCAAAGACGATGCTGTGTAATTCACATTGTTTTACACCAAGAGCCACAGAATATCAGGTTGTTCCAGTATAAGTGATACTGATTTTAATGCTTTGTTTAAAGTGGTGACTACCACTTCTCTAATGTAAAAGCCCTTCTCTCCCCCTTTGCAATTAACAAGTAATTTCCTAACACAACTTTAAATGCTGTGAACAGTCTTTGCTCAGTAACACAGGAAGAATGACAAGTCTGAGCACCAATGAGGCAGTCAAATGGCTTCTTTGTCAAAAAGCCCTTATCAATATGTTAAAATGTCTCTGATTTTTTTTTCACGTGAGGATTATGAAATATACTTTCCTGTTGAAGAATAATAAGTTCTCCTATAATACGTGAAGGTAAATAAGAGTAAAGCTTTGGCAATCTAAAATTCTAAACTATTTTGAGAATTTGAGCTCCTTTGACAACTTGCTGCCATTTATTCTATTAGGTTGATCCAAAGGTTGCACCAATTACTTTTGCTCCAACCTAATATATATAGATGTTAAACATTCACATATTAAAATTTTTCAGTATAAGAGTAAAATTAGTCATTACTGACTTTTCCAATAATTCAGAGATATATCTTCCAAGTGATGAAAAGTAGTTGTCCACAGTCTCAAAGCCTGACATTACCATCATTTTAAAAGTTCTAATTATCATAAATAAAAAGTTTCTCAGGTACCAGAGAAAACCTGTACTTCTTCAGGTATCCAGTTGTCAGAATAGATGCAATCTAGTTGTCTGGTTAAGTGATAATATAATCCTAAACTTTCTGAATTGTTCCAGGAATTAGAAAGAAATTCAACCTTCAAAGAAATAGAATTTATCTGTGACAGATCCAGTTCCTTGTTCTATAAGATGGCATTTTTCCAGTTAGAAAGTAAAGGGCAGTGAAAGACATAGCAATATGTTTTTTCTTTTTACACAATTAACTCATTTTCAGAATCATCATGATGTATCTTTTTATGTTAAAATGAGGTCTTCAATTTTAGTTCCCTAGAAATAGTAGTTACTGGAATTCAATGATAAAATGCATCCACACTCATGAGTTAATAAACCCAGTTTGGAATTTAGTAAATCATTATGTGTAGAAATTAAGAGTATCAAAAATATAATATTATCTTTTCTACATTGAAGGATCCTCAAAGAAGACAATTATACATTTCATAGAACCATTTCAGTGTCCAAAAGTCCTTGTGCATAACCAAGTTCTTACTGATATTTAGCTATGATTTATGTTTATGAAATCTAGATATTATTTTCAGTTTAATTATCTTCATGAATAAAAATTAGCCAAAAATACTGCATAAATAAATAATACTCTTTCAAACCTTTTTCATAATTTTTATTTATTTGTATGATAATCTTGTCAGTTGGTGGGTATATACGAAAATGGCTGTATGCAATCAAGAAATTGAATATTTAGGGCAATCATCCGAATACTGAGATAATAAACAAACATACAATTGTGTTGTTTTTCTTTGTCTTGAATACTTTGGGAAACTTTGCTTTGTTGATGTACCCTTAATGTTTATAAGCAAGTTAAAATAATTCATCAGTCATCACTGGGAAAACTAATTGTTTCTTTTAGTGTTAATGGACTGTACAATATAGGCTGTCTCTCAGCACCACTGTTGTGGTGGTTTATTTTTTCCTCAGGGGAAACTAAACTAAACTTGTTGCTGAAAGTTTGTTCAATTAATGTCTTCTTACAGGCAATAACAAGAGTAAAATTATTTCACATCTTGTCTATTGTGCTATATTTTAATAAGATACAAGCTACTTCCCAAATAATTCAATCTCTCCTTTCTTGATGATTAACAGGTGACAAACACATGAAGAGAAGAGCCCTCCTCCTTTCTCCTTTGTTCTTTACCTGGGAATGAGAACTCTGGCTCTCATGGTTCCAGCTCTCTGTAAAGAAACCCTTTCCCCAGACATAGTAGACACTTGTGGACAGGGTCCATTCCTCCTAAGAGGCAATCCCTGTTTCCCAAATGATAAGTCCTAGGAGTTTATCCAGCAGATATAAACATTTAATGGGCCTTATTAATAGCTTTTATCCATTTGTGAAGGAATAAACACAGTACTTAAGAAAACTCTACTCAAATTGAGAGTTTTTATTATCAACTTAGTCCTCCAGCACTTCCTCAATCCTCTGGAGGACTAGCTACATTTAAGTGAAAGATTCTTGGTTCCCAGAGGGAGTAGCTAAACAAATTTTCTCTATTGCCATATATTTTACTAGAACATATTCTTAAAAATGTATGCACAGCATGGGATCTGGGGCAGTTATATTGGTTTATAGTAGGAAACTATTAGCTTCTTTTGTTGGAGTTTTTAAGAGCTGCATTTAGAGTAGTGTGCTGTGGGACTCTCCTCATATTCAGCCTAAATTGTTCTATCTTATCCACAGTGACACTGTTAAATGTACTACCACAGTCTAATCCACAGTGGCTATCACATTTTCTCCAGCTAATAATCTAGTAAAGCCATCTGAGAAAGAGATGATAAGATAGAGAATTCATGATGGCCCCTTACCCTAATAGCTTTTACAAATCAACTCCTTGCCATACTATTCTAGTATTGTACCCATGAATGGGCATCAAGTTCACTGTCTTGTAAACCCACCTGCTTCTCCTTTCTTCTCTGATTTCTCATCTTTACTTCCCCACAGCATCAACTGCTGAGAAATCATAGACAAAGGCCAGACTTGGGAACTTCAATCTGGAGATTTTAGGGATGAGACGGTTTTGAGCCTTGATGACTGACCCTCTCTGCCCTTGTCTCCAGTTCCCTCCACACCCCAAACCATCTCATGCATTCCTGCTAGATTAATTTTAAAAATGTGCAGCTAAATTCTGACACCTGCTCAAATACCTTTAATAGCTTTCTGTCATCTACCAAATTAAGTTTAGATTACTCCTTATTGTATTTCCAGGGGAAATATGGGAGCTAGAATTTGGGGAGCTCAGGGTGAGGTGTCAGGCAGCTGTTGTAGGCACAGGAGACTGGCAGGAACAGACCACGGACTCTCTAAAGGCATCATCGACTAAATTTTCCCATCTCTGTACTGTTGCTCAGGGTGTGTCTTTGCCTACAGTGCTCTTGTCCCTGTCTGTGAACGTGTAATGTTAAATTTTTTCTTGATTTTTCTGTCCATTTGGAACACCTACTGTACTTTTTCCTGAGAGGACTGATTTTTATTCTTATATTATGATCTTTTTGCTCTTGCATCATTACAAAGATCAGATAACAGGAGAAAGGGGAAAGAGCTTGGTAGAATCTGAAAACAGCAAAAATCATGCAGATGTGACTCAGTGATTTCTAAAATCTAAAAATACTTAGTTGGTCTCTATTAATTTGCCTAATTAATTTCTAGCCCATACAGAAAATGTACATGTATACTCCACTCACAATTAGTTTTAACTATTTCCAACTTCAATAACTAACATTATGGCTACAGTGACCTATTCTTACAAACCAGAGTAAGTCAGTATTTCTGGTAGTTTGGAGTACAAATAAAAAGCTGAAAACCACTAACATGGGGGAAAATTATGTTGATTATACAGATAAAGGCCCCAGTAATTTGAGAAAAACTATTTTTTATCCAAATTATAACTGGTACTCAAATTATAATTCCAAACATTGAACACTGATATGATTTGGGTATTGTCCCTCCAAATCTCATGTTGAAATGTGATCCTCATTAGTGGAGGTGGGGCCTGATGGGAGGTGTTTGAGTCATGGGGGTGAATCCCTCATGAATAGCTTGGTGATCTCCCCATGGTAATGAGTGAGTTCTTGCCCTGTTAACTCACGTGACAGCTGGTTGTTCAAAGGAGCCTGGCACCTCCTCCTCTCTCTCTTGCTGCCTCTCTTGCCATGTCACACACCTGCTCCCCCTTCACCTTCTGCCATGAGTAAAAGCTTTCTGAGGCCTCACCAGAAGCCAAGAAGATGCTGGCAGTATGCTCATACAGCCTGTAGAACCATGAACCAAATAAACCTCTTTTCTTCATAAATTACCCAGTCTCAAATATTCCTTTATAGTAATGCAAAATGGACTAACACAAACACCTTGACTTTTACAAGTGTGTTAGACATTAATCCACTAATTCTTATGCTATGCCTATATCCACAAAAGATAAGAAACAATCAACAATATAAAAACTTAAATAAAGCCAGATGAAAAAAGTTAAAATAACAAAATTTCCAAAAGAAAATGCATACTGTATTTCCAACACTAAGTTACTCTAGTTGAACATTATATCTAAGGCTAAATTCATCTCAGGCAATAATGGAAATGTGGTTTGCAATGTCTGACTAACTAAAGTATTCACATTCATCAAGAGGCAGGATAAATGCTGTCCAAGCACCAAGACCTATAAGGAATTTATCATATGGATATACAAATCCTTGATAATAGGCCAGGAGTGGTGGCCCTCGCCTATAGTCCTAGAACTTTGGGAGGCCAAAGCGGGAGAATCACTTGAGCCCAGGAATTCAAGACCAGCCTAGGCAACATGGCAAAAGCTCATCTCTACAAAATGTACAAAAATTGGCTGGGCATGGTGGTGCACACATGTAGTCCTAGCTACTCGTTAGGCTGAGGCAGAAGATTTGCTTGAGCCCAGTAGTTCGAGGCTTCAGTGAGCTAAGATTGCACCACTGCACTCTAGCCCAGGTGACAGAGCAAGATCTTGTCTTAAAAAAAAAAAAAAAAAAAAAAAAAGGAGAGAGAAAAAAAAATTCTGGATAATATTACCAACAATTTATCTGAAGATAATTCTTATACCAATTAGGGATGGATATTTTAAATCATTTCAACATTTCTATGGAATACTACCATAGTTTAGGTATTTTAGACATTGATGCCCTCTTTCAAGACAGAATTAGGAAACCTAAAAAATGCATAGCTAACACTGGGCTTTAACCTGTCTCTCTCAAACATCGAAATGTTTCAAGAAATTTTCAAAAATTTATAGATAAATTCATGGATGAATTCTCTGACATGTGTCATAAGTGTCAGGACTTGATGATGCTGAGAAGAGAGGTACAGTCAAATGTTATATACTAGATATGAAGACAGAAGAAATGCCCTTCCAC
Source organism: Homo sapiens (assembly GCF_000001405.40). Classification (NCBI taxonomy): domain Eukaryota; kingdom Metazoa; phylum Chordata; class Mammalia; order Primates; family Hominidae; genus Homo; species Homo sapiens. The sequence goes on along the minus strand of NC_000010.11, from coordinate 51,823,492 downwards.
TGAGAAAACTTGGAAGCCCCGTGGTTCATGTTACAATTGGCTCCTGAGTTTGAAATGGCTAGTCCAGGGTTATCCCTTTGCATTTCAAAGTAATTCCACTGTTATTAGTTTCACCCTATATGCCATACAGAAGCAATGGATATAATTTATTGGTTAATGAGTTCCATTAAAATTTTTCCCCAAAAGCATGGATCTATCCATGCTTCCTATTATGTTAGACTTTTTATTAAAGTCTAGCATATTGTTTATCTGCCCTCATTTTATCTTGTTTTAATTTAAAAGGGTGGTTCTCAAGCTTTTTGGTCCCAGGACCCTTATACATTCCTAACAGTTGTTTATATGTGTTGTATCTATCTACATTTACCATGTTAAATAGTGACTGGAAAGTTTTAAAACATATAAGTATCCAAGCATACATATTATTAGCTGTCTTAGCCTCTAAAAAACTCCACTGTAACCTTGTGAGACAATGAAAAAGAAAAGGAAAATAATACCTTAGCATTATGAGAATAGTTTTGACCTCATGAATTCCCACTAAATAGTGTCAGGAATGCCCATGAATCTCCATATCATATTTTGAGAACCACCAGTTTAGAAGAACCACCAACAAAGGAAAAATCAGCTGTATGCAAAACAAACAGAAGAAAAAGGGCTACACTCCAGGCATGCACATACATCTTAAAGTTGTCCCCTGGGCAGGGTGCACTGCCCTGATGCACCACACAAGGGAAACACAGGGGGATGACCACATTGGACTGACTCACAATTATTAGCCCCCTAAGCCTTTTCTAAATTTTACAGAGCTAGGCACTCTCATCTAGCTTAGATTATCTCCAGAACTGAACAGGAGAAACTGGTGGGACACAGAACATTATCAATCCATGTGGTAATCACTGATTTCATTATGACCCATGGTACGTGTGTATGCCTTAAAGTAGAGGGGTATTTACAAAAATTGCACAAGACAATCTATGTGGCTGACAGAAAAAAATATTGCTAATTCTATCTACGTTTCTCTTACCTTTTTTTTCTTCATTTAGCGCCATTTGTTCAATAGCTCCCTATTTCCCCAATTCCTAGCCCTATAAACCCCCAGTTCACGCTCTTGTTTTTAGGAGTTCTACTTTTTTTAGTTTCTACACTTAAGTAGGATTATGCAGTATTTATCTTTCTGTGCCTGGCTTTATCTCACTTAGCACAATGTCCTCAATGCTCATCCATGTTGCGAATGGCAGTATTTTCTCTTTTTAAGGCTCAATAATATTTCATTGTGTGTGTATACACACATATAAATACACACACCATATACACACACATAAATGACATATGTATATATACATATATACATATGACATACATACATATGTTATATATATGTGTGTATATATATATGTGTGTATATATATACATATTCTTTATTCATTCATCTTGTAGATGGACACAGATTAATTCCATGCCCTGTCTATTGTGAATACACTGTAGTAAATATGGAGTGCAGATATCTCTTCACCATACTGATTTGATTTCCTCTGGCTATGTATTCAGAAATGGGATTACTTGAACATATGGTAGTTCTATTTTTAATTTTTTGAGGAAGCTCCATACTGTTTTCCATAATGACTGTAACAATTTACATTCCCATCAACAGTGCATAAAGATTCCCTGAAGATCAACTGACCATATGCATGAGTTTATTTCTGGGCTCTCAATTCTATTTAATATCTTATCTTTTCATAAATCTTATTTTGTATATGTATTAGTTCAGACATTTAAGTATTTAATGTCTTAAATATATAAGGTCAATATATATAGGTCAATACAGGTCAATGTGCTAAAATATATATAGGTCAATGTGCTAAATATAAATATATAGGTCAACGTGCTAAAAATATTGTTAATGGGGTGTACACTCAAAATATTTGCAGACTATGTGGTATTTTATTTGATTAAAATATTTTAACCAAATAAATTAAGATTGACAATACTAAATACTGTTAGGATCTGGAACAAACCTCTTTTTTTATATTTTTTAGGAGCATAAATTAGTTCAACCACTGTGCAAAATTATATAGCACTATCTATAAAAGTTATATATATGCTTCCTATATAACCCAGAAATTTTATTCTCAGGTATATACTTAAGAGAAATGAAGGCAGACGCTCACGAAAAACATGCTCAAGAATGTTTCCAGCAGCTTTATTTATACTAGCCTCAAAATGGCAATAATCCAAATGCCCTTTGTCAGTAAAAATGAATAAACAAATGGTGGCATATTTATGCAAGAGAATGTTACAAAGCAAGAATAAACTTTTGATACACACAGCAAAAGGTATGACTCTTCTAGACATAATGTTTAGCAAAAGAAACCAGACACAGAAGAGTACATACTACCTGATTCCATTCATCTGAAGTTGAAAAAGGGCAATACTAATCTGTAATGGTAGAACTCAGAATAGTGGTTACCTTTGGCAGAGGAGATTAACTACAAGGAGATTTGGGAGGGCCTTCCAAAGAAGTGGAAATGTCCTGTATTGTGAGCTGGTATTTTTTACATGAGTATATAAATATGTAAACATTCATTGATCTGTACTTTCAAGATTTGTGTATTTTACAGTACTCTGATATACTGAAATAAAAAATACTGTAAGAGTTATAACCAAATTAGGAAGTACCCAACTTAATTTTCTCCCCATCAAAACTAGAAAAGATCTATGAGAATCTTCTTTATCCACATGAAAACCCAGTGCGTACAGTAGGCTTAAAAGCAAACCACAAGTTTTCCATTACAAAGCCAAAAATCAGTCTCGCTTTCCTCCAGGATCATTCCCAGACATTGCCATTTTCCACTGCCTAAGAATAACCAGATTAGCTCCTGCTCTGAAGCCATAGCAAGGGTATGTGTGAAGGTGTGGGGTGTGGTCCTAGGCTCATAGGAAACAGCAGGAAAAAAAAGGCACAGAATCAGATTAGCAGGAGGTGTGCCTCTGCTTCTGTAGGTTGGACATTTTGGGGACAGAGGTCCTACCACACAACAGGTGCTCAAGATGCACACTGTAGATTGAGGTTATGTTGTCTTTCATTCTAATGCTTTTTTATTATTACACCTACCCTATCCCCTGGTCTCACAGAACTAAGAATCCTTAAAACTGAGAAAAAGAAGTAGATGGTGGCGGCATAAGAAAACAAAGAAGAGTTTGGAAAATTTTAATATTAAATAACATGGAAGGATATAATATTAAATTATCAGCAACACTAAAGCTGCATAGTTGTCACTAAAATAATTAGGTTAAAAGTTGCACATAAACAGGAAAATAGTTGCATATAACAGTTGTACATAAATAGTAAAATCCTTAAATAGCTATCAGTAGGTATCTGACATTAGGTATTTTTGGAAGGTGACTGCAATGATTTGTCTTTTCGGTTTCTATAAGTTTTATAAAATATATTCTTTATTAATTTATAAGTTGAACATTGAATAATTTTTAAAATCTTTTTTAAAAAAGCTATTTGAAACCCACATAAAGATGTCATCTGTGCCTCAATTGTCATGATGATGAAGCTTTTCATTCTCAATGATTATGAATTTATCATTGACTTCAGCTCTCCTCAAGTTATGACTTTTTCTGGGTATATCAAGGTCTTTAGCTACAATGTTACTCTAGTGTGATTCACTCTCTAATTCACTGTCTTCAGCATAGACCCTCAGCTTCATGAAAATTCCAGATCTGTCCCTATGTGCCCCTGGGACTGTGTGGCTTGTTTCCCTGGTTTGTATTCTGGCTCTTTCACCAACATTCTATTCCTTCTAGAGGGTCACTTACTCCCCTAGACTCTATTTCCTTTTCCTGACTCCTGCAAACACTATCTCCATTTATTTTATCAAACCCAGCTTCAACTAACTCTGTAGAGATCAAACTAATTGGCATGGATGGCAGCAGGACACGATGAGCCAGGTGAGATCAGGATAAGACATATAGACAGGTTCTTGGACCAAAATAGTGAGGTATGCAGAAACATGGACATAATGAAGTTTGCTGACTGCTATAGTTTGGATGTTTGTCCCCTCTAAGACTTGTGTTGAAATTTGATCCCCAGTGTTGGAGGTGGGGCCTAATGGGAGGTATTTGGGTTATGGGAGTGAATCCCTTATGAATAGATTAATGCCCTGGGCAGGATGGGAAAAGGGTGAGTGAGTTTTCTATTAGTTCCTGTGAAAGCTGGTTGCTAAAAAAGAAAAAAAAAGCCTGACACCTCCCCTCTCTTTCTTGCTTCCTCTCTCACCATGTGATCTCTATACATACCTTCTCCCCTTCACCTTCCACCACGAGGGGAAGCATCCTGAAGCCCTCCTCAGATACAGATGCAGGTATCATGCTTCTTGTACAGCCTGGAGAACCATGAGTCAAATAAACCTCTTTTCTTTATAATTTATCCAGCCTCTGGTATTCTTTTTTTTTTTTTTTTTTTTTTTTTTTTTTTTTTTTTGAGACGGAGTCTCGCTCTGTCGCCCAGGCTGGAGTGCAGTGGCGGGATCTCGGCTCACTGCAAGCTCCGCCTCCCGGGTTCACGCCATTCTCCTGCCTCAGCCTCCCAAGTAGCTGGGACTACAGGCGCCCACCACTACGCCCGGCTAATTTTTTGTATTTTTAGTAGAGACGGGGTTTCACTGTTTTAGCCAGGATGGTCTCGATCTCCTGACCTCGTGATCCGCCCGCCTCGGCCTCCCAAAGTGCTGGGATTACAGGCGTGAGCCACCGCGCCCGGCCCTCTGGTATTCTTTTACAACAATATTAAACAGACTAAGGCAGTGACAAAGCCAGTACTGAAGAGAGAATATGTATGCGTGTGCTGTGATTCTCAGAAAGCAAACATCTGGGGATTAAATAGGAGAGATCAAACACATTGTATAGTGTAGTATAATCAGATTGTTGTGAAATTTATACAAAAAATATCTATTTAAAGTAGTCAGCCATGTATTTTGAGATGTCAGAGCTATCTAACAAAGGCTATAAAGAAGAAACACTACTTGTAAAAGAAAGAAAATATCTCTTTTCTGACATGTTTGATTTTTTTTTGTAATCAAACAGAGTATCTCTTGTCTATATTATGGGGCTTCGAAGTTAAGTAGAAACTGTTTAGTGCTAGAAAGACTAACTAGATGTTAGAATTCTGAGAGTCAGAAACAGTGAAGACTCTCTGGATGAACTGTTATCAGTGAGACAATGTATCCTTAATGTAGGCTAAATAAATTCTAAAATAATATTCTAGAAGAGACTCCAATCTCCTTGCACTGGTTTGACTTCTTATCTAATACAAAAGCTAATTTTGATGTGTTTCTATATGATAACAAAATCTGATTTAGGTTAATTCTATATGTCCCATATAGAATTCTGCATATTTTCAGATGGCCCAATCCTTGCTACTACATTCTGGCACACTGTCTTCCATCTGTTGAGATAGGTGTCCAAAAGGACTTAAAATATGAATTGGACACATTTAACATAGCAGAATATACCAGTTTAAATGAAAAAAAGTGATTACTTGTTGTTTATACATAAGTCTTACCTTTAAGAAGCAATTGACTACACTTATACATATGAATGTATTGATTTATTGTGAATGAGAGAAGGAAAGAAAAGAGAAGAAGAGGAAGGAAAAAATGAAGTTAATGTCATTTAGAATAATATTCATTAACTGAAAACAAGTCAATAACTTCTTGCTGTTCAGTATTTAACTACTTTTCATACTCATTTATTGGTTGGTCCTAGATTATTTTGTCATATTTTTATCCAGACAAGATAGAAACATAAATTAAAAATAACAACAACACATATGTTTATTGCAGCACTGTTCACAATAGCAAAGACTTGGAACCAACCCAAATGCTCATCAGTGATAGACTGGATAAAGAAAATGTGGCATATACACACCATGGAACACTATGCAGCCATAAAAAAAGGATGAGTTCATGTCCTATGCAGGGACATGGATGAAGCTGGAAACCATCATTCTCAGCAAACTAACATAGGAACAGAAAACCAAACGCTGCATATTCTCACTCATAAGCGGGAGTTGAACAATGAGAACACATGGACACAGGGAGGGGAACTTCACACACCAGGGCCTGTCAGGGGAGGGGGGGGGTTGGGGAGGGATAGCACTAGGAGAAATACCTAATGTTAGATGATGGGTTGATGGGTGCAGCAAACCACCATTGCACATGTATACCATTGTCACAAACCTGCACGTTCTGCACATGTATCCCAGAACTTAAAGTATAATTTAAAAAAAATAAAAATAAGTACAAAATCTGCCATTCCTTTGGGCCCCGCTGCCCCAAACACCAAGACCTAATTTCAAGAAGCAATGCTAAGTGTACAGAGTTCAACGCACATAAAACCAACCTGAAGTCAAAATTTGTAACAATTTAGAATTCTGTGTAATTAAAATTCTTAAATTTTAATATTTCTTTTCTTGCTTTCTTGGCTGTGTTCCTGTTAGATTTACTAATGTATTTAATTTCTTTAAAAAATAAAACAAGTAAATCCATCCTGCAAGGCAACTTTGATTTATCTTCATTTGCACAACAAACCAGAGCACTTACATAGTTTTTTCCAAACCTGGAATACAATGTTTACCCATTGGACCCCCTCCAGCCAACAGGGAAAACAGTATTTATTCAATTGCTTGAAAAGTACTGAATAATTTTAAGCACTCTATATGTATTTATAAAATAACTAAAATTGTGCTGCTTAATTGGAGTTCTTCTGGGCTTTAGCATAAATATTCTATCACTTATTATACACACACAAAGTAAATAATAAAATTACATCATTATTAGAACTCAAAGAAAAAATCCTCTCTCCTCTGTTTTGAAATTACTTTTAAAAACCTCAGATTTAACTATGGATGGATGATTACACACACACACACACACACACACACACACACACATGCCAAAATTATATGTTAGGAACTTTTCCATGAATTGAAATGTTTATAGCAATGCACTTCCAAGGAATATTTTCAATATATTTGTAATGATTTTTGCACATATTCACCAATTGACATTACTTTTTTTATTCTATAAAAAGTTTACAAGTATTTGTTCTATTATTCTTCCTCTGACATTACCCATTTATAGGAAATTGGCCTGATAAATTAACAGAATGAGGATTTTTGGATTGGACCTGGTTTTAAATCCAAACCCAGGCTCAGGGGGAGGCCAGCATAATGAATCAATGTATTAAGTCTCTTAGCCAAGGACTTAGTCTTTTCTTGGACTAAACAGGGCTTATCTGTGTGAGATTCATTACTGATGCTGGGAAACCGCTAATTTTCACGATTCTGGTTACTGCCTCAGTAAAATGGAAATGCCTTAGTAAAATCATATTGGTAAATAAATTATGATTAACTTTCTTAAAGGAGCTGTCAAAATTAAGTGAGATAATAATGTGTGTAAGGAGGCAGGTGCCAGCTTATTCTGTTTTGAGTTTTGGATTTCCCTTGCTCTCCCTCACTGCCTTGAAAACACTCACACTGGGTTTGGTAAAGGGAGTGTTCACAACAAAGCCCCTAGTTGTGCTGTGAAGCACTGTGCTCATGCTGCCTCTAAGGGCTTCCCTTTCCAGGGGCTGCTTTCCCTGCACCCTAGAAAGAGTCAGAAAATCAGGATTCTCAGATTCATAGACACCCATGCTGCCCAACAGCCAGATTCTAAGCTGTCCGTTAAGAGTTCGCCTTGGTAAAATCATATTGATAAATAAATTATGATTAACTTTATTCCAAGCCAAAACCAAAAACAAACAAACAAAAAAGGACCTATGATGCTAATTCTGACTTTCTCATGCTTTTTTTAAACTGACAAACTGATGTATTGGCCTCTTCTCAGGACAGATGAAATGTACACACTAAGACGCTTTCTTTGTCTAAATTGCCCTAGTATTTATTTTGCACCTCAGCAGGATTTTTTCATTCCCACTTCCGATTCTCTATCAGATTTCTCTCCAACCATGAGGAAGTGGGTTTCTATATCAAGCAGAGAAATCTATGTTGCTGGGATCCCAGAAGACCACCCTTCTTAATTTTTCCCAGTAACTCATGGATTCTCTCTGAATTTGTTTGTTACAGAATGGTTTTCCTTATGGAAAAGAACTCACTCCCAGATGCACTAATCCTCTGTGTACAAAACATTTTACAAGCATGGAACTGTTATTAGGCTCAATCTGGATGATACAGAAATAAAATAAGCCTTACTACAGGAAAGATTTATAAGGTTCAAAGCTACAACAGGCTAGAGGAATATTAAACTGCTTTGTCACACTGTTTTAGATTTTTGGAACCCCAGAGTTTTGAGAAAGTATTCTTATGGAGATAGTGAGGAAAAGTTGCCTACAGTCCTTAAAGAGACTGATCCCTGGTAACCCAGGCTCAGGGAGAGGCCAGCACAATGAATCAATTTATTAAGTCCCTTAGCTGAGGACTTAGTCTTTTCTTGGACTAAATAGGACTTATCTGTGTGAGATTCATTACTGACTCAAGTGGAAGATTTTACCACAAATATAATCAACTATCTTATTAATTAGTTGCAAGAAGTAGAAAAAACTTACATGTATGGAGGTGAAAGTAACAATATGAAATGTGCAGATGAATAATTTTTTAAAAATTAGCCTATAATTATGCAAATATCTGAGATTACATTGTCTTTCTTTTTTTAATAAAAAATGGATCAATATGGAGACATTTGTGCAAATGCTAGATGACAACATAAAATTAATGGCCACTTTTAGATTTACCTGCTCCTTGTGTCATCTTTAATGAGAATGAATCTGCTACCACAAAATGGTCTGTGAGCAAACCAACTTGAAAATGGGGTGAGAAAGTGCCTCTTTATTTATTCTTCCCAATATTTCCCTTCAAATTAAAACTATACCAGCTTTGTCAAGCTTAATTCTAATGCAGGTTTCACAAACTTCTAGAAAAGCTCTATTAAAGCTCAAAGCTTAAGAGCTCAATAGGTCTGTCATTGAGTCTTAAGAAACAAACAAAAAAAAATTAAGTTCTAACAGCCCCCAAATTGTTTTAATATGCACCTTCTCTTTCCCATCTCTTTTTGTAAATGATAGAAGAAAAATATGGGGAAAGGGAAATCATTATTTTAATTTCCCAGAATTGTGATCTCTACAAACTGATTAGACAATATTGTTGTATTTTATAGAATTTGTGCCCAAAAAGTGGCATCTTCATTTGTTCAGGTTAAAGTGTACAAAAGATACTTTGTATGTGTCCAAACAGTTCAATTCCTTAAAAGATCACAGAGCATAGCCTAAGCAAGAACAGGTCCCACTTACAGACTACAACCTGTGCTTGAGGAACTCAAAGGCAGGAGGTTAAAAAAGAACCAGAAATGCAGTGTCTGAATGTCTGCAGAAGACACTGATCCTGAGTTGTAAGTCATTTAATATTTGTTTTAGAAATCATGGTGTCTGCTTATGTACAGGTGGTGGGTTTCCAAACAACTGAAAGCCCCTTCACTGAGCCTATGTAATTCTAAGACATTGTCACTTGTTTAAAGTGATAGCTCTTAAGCTATTACTGAGCATTTTTTTGAGAACATATTCTAGAGGGGTGAGAGGAAGGGAAAATACTACTGAGGTTTGGGAGGAGGGCACTGAGAGAGAAAAATATGGTGAATAGGAAACCCAGGTACTCCAAGAACAAAATCAACCTAAGGCTGAAATCTCCAGGCTAAGTAAATGCCAATTTAATGAGCAGGACAGCAATGTGCAGGGACTAATATTTGGGTATCCAGAATTTATTGAGGCAGTATAGGGTGGAGTTTAAGAGTATCAGTTCTATAGACACTGGCTCTACCCTGAATACCTGTGTAGTTTTCTTTATCTGTTTGGCCTTAGTATTCTTACCTGTAAAATGGAAATGATGTTATAATAGTACTTTACGAATTTTTGTTGAGAATAAGTTAATACATCTGCAGCATTTTGAACACTGCTTGGCACACACTCAATAAATTTTTACTAACATATTATTTTGTTTATTTCTAATTATGGTCCTTGATAGTGGGAGGGTTTACTACATTTTTTATTGCACCTAAATGTAAAGAATCTTGCCTACGATTATATTAGGTTGGTGCAAATGTAACTGAAGTTTTGGCATTGTTGAAATTTGCCATTTGATATTGGAATGCATTCTTAAATAAATGTGGTTATGTCATACATCATTTTATGCTTTTTTGCCAATGACTTATTACTTTATGCTTTTTTGCTAATGGCTTATTACTTTATGCTTTTGTGCTAATGGCTTATTACTTGCTGTTTATTTTATGCTTATTTTAGACTATGGAAATGATGTTAGACAAAAAGCAAATTCAAAAGATTTTTCTTATTTGAGTTTGAAGTGGGTCCTAAAGCAGCAGAGACAACTTGAAACATCAACAACACATTTGGCCCAGGAACTGCTAATGAATGTACAGTGCAGTGGTGTTTCAAGAAGTTTTGCAAAGGAGAGGAGAACCTTGAAGATGGAGAACACAGTGGCTGGCCATCGGAAGTTGACAACGACCAGTTGACAGCAATCATCTAAGCTGATCCTCTTACAACTACACAAGAACTTGCCAAAAAACTCAACAGTCATTTGTCATTTGAAGCAAATTGGAAAGGTGAAAAAGATCAATAAATGGGTACCTCATGAACTGAGAGAAAAAAAAATCATCATTTTGAAGTGTCGTCTTCTCTTATTCTGTGCAACAACAACGAAGCATTTCTCGAATTGGTTCGTGACATGAAATGAAAAGTGGATTTTATCCAGCGATCAGTGATGACCAGCTCAGTGGCTGGACTAAGAAAAAGCTCCAAAGCACTTTCCAAAGCAAACTTGCACCAAAAAAAGTCATGGTCACTCGTTGGTGGTCTGCTGCCAGTCTGATCCACTGCAGCTTTCTGAATCCTGGCATAACCACTGTATCTGAGAAGTACACTTAGCAAATCGATGAGATGCACTGAAAACTGCAATGCCTGCAGCTGGCATTGGTCAACAAAAAGGGCCCGATTCTTCCCCATGCAATGCCTGCCCACGCATCGCACAACCAGTGTTTCAAAAGTTGAATGAATTGGGCTAAGAAGTTTTGCCACGTTTGTCGTATTCACCTGACCTCTTGTCAACTGACTACCACTTCTTTAAGCATCTCGACAACTTTTTGCAGAAAAAACACTTCCACAACCAGCAGGATGCAGAAAATGCTTTCCCAAGAGTTTGTCAAATCCCTAAGCATGGATTTTTATGCTACAGGAATAAACAAGCTTATTTCTCATTGGCAAAAATGTGTTGATTGTAATGGTTCCTATTTTGATAAATAAAGATGTGTTTGAGCCTAGTTATAATGATTTAAAATTCACAGTCAAAACTGCAATTACTCTTGCACCAACCTATCATATACCTATAAATGGTGAAACCAGGATTTAAACCCAGGCACTCTTCATATTAATAAGTCATACAAATACTCAAAATATTTGAAATATATTTTGTACTTTCATCTTATGTCCTAGATAAGTGGTTCTCCAAGAATGATCCCCAGACTAGCTGCATGAGCATCAGGTGAGAACTTAAAAAATGCACATTTTCTGGCCCCATTCCAAATCTATCACTAAAAATGGATATTACAAGGGCATCTCTGTGCAGTTACTTTCTCTTTCCTTAGAGGATATGACAACTTAGGCAAGATCTTCACAGAATATCCTATAGGAAAGGCAAAAACACTAGGACATATGTTTAGTCAAGATTGTGGGGAATTTTACCTTGAAGATTTTGAACAAAACAAAGATGATATTCTGGGATAGTAAAATTTCAGACTTGCCCAGGCACAGGGATCATTTTATTAGCAATTTTCTGGGTGATGTGAGGCAGCTCTCCTCACTGATCTAGGCCCAGTTCTCTCATCAGTAGAATGAAGAAACTTTCACACTCCTCACAACTTTATATTCTACTCAACAAACTCTAATTCTCTCCCGACTACACTTTTAGAAATATGATAAAATACAATTAAAATATCAAAATAAAGTGCCTGTTGGATTGAGTTATTAAAAAAATGAAACCAGATTTTTAAATTGGATCAAAGAAGGAAAAGCTTGTAAGGGCTTTAGAAATTTTATTTCTAAAAGATTGAAAATAAAGGTATATAGTTAGAATATAGACAAAAGTTTATATAATATTGAATTAATAATCTAAATAAGTTGCCTTTGTGGAAAGGAACAATGAAAATATTACTAAACTACCCTCACTTTAGTTTACTGTAGTAGGGAGCTGCCATCAGAAAACAAACTATGAACTGGAGTCCAGGTAAGGTGTAATACTCAGGCTAGAGATTCAGAAACCTGAGTTTTAGTCTAAGCTCTGTTTTTTACTGGGTATGAGCTTATTTTGATCTCTTTGAGACTTAGTTGCTTCAGCTATAAAATGTGCAGAGAAATTAAATGACATCACATCTTAGATTTTTCTAAATCTAAAATCATTTAATCCTTGTTGATTTATCAGACCACAGAGGTGATGATGCATCATTATGTAGATCCCATCCAGTGACAGGTGAGGCAGAAACCACAAAATGATAAAAATGTAAAGCAATTAAACAGAAGTTTCAGAAAAGTTTGGTTGAAGTATGGCCCATAGGCAGAAGTCAAGGGGTGATCTCAACATAAAATTGACTTCCTAGTCAAGGCCATTCTGATATCAAATGAAAGTATAAAGTTTCAATAACAAAGTCATATTTTTTTAAGGGAAAATCACTTACATTCATAATACATATATATAAATAGGTAGCACATTTATTTAACAATATGTTGGATATATATACAAGCATTATTGTTTTAGAGAATAAGGGAAAAGCACATGTGGACTTGGGGCTCACTACCTAGTAATGGAGATAAAGAATAAGGAAGCTTTACACAGCACTAAAATCTGGCAGGATTTTTAGAATGGAAATTATGGAATAAGGAGGGATCATCAAAGCAGCTCTATGACTTGCCAAGGGCTCACCCATCATCTTGATCCTTTGTATACAGATGCTACAAGGCCCCCATAGAGGGACATCAGTTTTGGATTTTGGTTACAAATCACCTCCCAGTAATGAGGGCTTCCTGGCAAAGATTTACCCTTCTGGTTAAAAGGGGCCAAACCATATGATCAGTACTTTTAAAATTGAACAACATCTTCAAGTTCTTTAACAGTTGGAAAGTCAGGTGGGAATCAAATTATCACCAAAAATCTTCAAAGTCTGTGAACTTTACAATTATTTGTATTGAAAATATAATGTAAAGCTCAGTGGTGAATACTATTATTGCCCCCATTCAACTCAAGGAAGGGAAATCAGACATTTATAAGAGTTTTGAGAGATATCAGGTTCTATTTTCCACTATGGCAGGCATACTTGATGTGTTGTCACATCTTAGATCACTCTGGTAATGCATCCATTCAAAGGGAGGGGAGTCTCTTGAGATAATCTTTATTAAGAGGGGCTGTGGAGCATCTAAGGAGATGAAACAGTACCTGTGACTGGGACAAGGGAGGATGAGAGAATAAAGAAGGAGAAGATGGAGAGTGAGATGAGTCTGGAAGAGTGTCGGGGCAGGCAGTGCTTGGAAGACAATGGTAAGAACTAGGTAGGCTTTCTCCTAGGAGTGATGGGAAGATATGGAAAGGTTTAATGCAAGAGGGATGACGTG